>NT_113930.2:0-185591 GCF_000001405.40 Homo sapiens
GAATTCTATGTGAGGGAGAAACACTCAGAACCCAGCAGCAGTGTTCTGGAATCCTATGTGAAGGACATACATGTAGACCATAGCAGCAGTGCTCTGGAATCCTTTGTGACAGACAAACATTCAGACCCCAGCAGCAGTGTTCTGGAATCCTGTGTGAGGGACAAACATTCAGACCCCAGCTGCAGTGTTCTGGTATCCTATGTGATGGACAGTCATAAAGACCCTCGTAGCAGTGTTCTGGAATTCTTTGTGAGGGACAAACATTCAGACATTCATAGCAGTGATGTGGAATCCCATGTGAGTGACAAACATTCAGACCACAGCAGAAGTGTTCTGGAATCCCCTGTGAGGAACAAACATTCAGACTCTCGTAGTAGTGTTCTGGAATCCTATTTGAAGGACAAACATTTAGGCCCCAGCAGCAGGGTCCTTGAATCCTATGTGAGGGACAAATATTCAGACCCTGGTAGCACTGTTCTGGCTTTCTTTCTGAGGGACAAACATTCAGTCCACAGCAGGAGTGTTCTGGAATCCTAAGTGAGGGACAAACATTCACACCCTCGTAGCAGTGTTCTGGAATCCTATGTGAGGGACAAACATTCAAATAAATACTTGAGTGTTTTTGAATCCTATGTTACGGACAAACATTCAAACCCTCGTCGCAGTGTTCTGGAATTGTTTGTGAGTGAGAAACACTCAGAAACCAGCAGCAGTGTTCTGGAATCCTATGTTTCGGACATAAATGTAGACCCCAGCAGCAGTGTTCTGGAATCCTAAGTGAGGGACAAACATTCAGACCCTAGCAGCAGCATTCTGGAATCCTATTGAGGGACAAAAATTCTGACCCTCATCTCAGTGGTCTGGAATTCTAGGTGAGGAAGAAACTCAGACAATCGTAGCAGTGTTCTGGAATCCTATGTGAGGGGCAAACATTCAAACAACAGCGGGAGTGCTCTTGAATCATATGTTATGGACAAACACTCAGACCCTCGTAGCAGTGTTCTGGAATCCTATGAGAGGGACAAACATTCAGACCCTCCAGGTTTGTTCTGGAATCCTATGTGAGGGACAAATATTAAGAAAATCGTAACATTGTACTGGAATCCTGTGTGAGGGACAAACATTCAGTCCCCATTAGCAGTGTTCTGGATTCCTATGTGAGGGACAAACATTCCCACAACAGCGGGAGTGTTCTGTAATCCTATGTTACGGACAAACATTCAGACCCTCATCGCAGTGTTCTGGAATCCTATGTGAGGGAGAAACACTTAGAAACCAGCTGCAGTGTTCTGGAATCTTATGGGATGGACACACATGTAGACCCCAGCAGCATTGTTCTGGAATCCTGTGAGACGGACAAACATTCAGACCCCAGCAGCAGTGTTCTGGAATCCTAGAGTAGGGATAATCATTAAGATCCTGGCTGCAGTGTTCTGCAATTCTGTGTGAGGGACAAACATTCAGAGCCTCATAGGAGTGTTCTGGAATCCTATGTGATTGACAAACATTCAGACCACAGCAGGAGTGTTCTCGAATCCCCTGTGAGGAACAAATATTCAGACCCTCGTGGCAGTGTTCTGTAATCCTATGTGAGGGACCAACATTTAGACCACAGCAGCAGTGTTCTGGAATCCTATGTGAGGGACAAACATTCAAACAACAGCGGGAGTGTCCTTGAATCATATGTTACGGACAAACATTCAGACCCGCGTAGCAGTGTTCTGGAATCCTTTGAGAGGGACAAACATTCAAACAACTGCGGGAGTGTTCTGTAATCCTATGTTATGGACAAATATTAATATAATCGTAACATTGTTCTGGAATCCTGCGTGAGGGACAAACATTCAGTCCCCATTAGCAGTGTTCTGGATTCCTATGTGAGGGACAAACATTCAAACAACTGTGGGAGTGTTCTGTAATCCTATGTTATGGACAAATATCAGACCCTTGTCGCAGTGTTCTGGAATTCTATGTGAGGGAGAAACATTTAGAAACCAGCAGCACTGTTCTGGAATCCTATGGGATGGACACACATGTAGACCCCAGCAGCATTATTCTGGAATCCTATGAGACAGACAAACATTCAGACCCTAGCAACAGTGTTCTGGAATCCTAGAATAGGGATAATCATTCAGACCCTGGTAGCAGTATTCTGGAATTCTGTGTGAGGAACAAACATTCAGAGCCTCATAGCAGTGTTCTGGAATCCTATGTGATTGACAAACATTCAGACAACAGCAGGAGTGTTCTGGAATCATCTGTGAGGAACAAACATTCAGACAACAGCAGGAGTGTTCTGGAATCATCTGTGAGGAACAAACATTCAGACCCTCTTAGCAGTGTTCTGTAATCCTATGTGAAATCATCCTATGTGACAGACAAACATTTAGACCCCAGCAGCAGTGTTCTGGAATCCTATGTGAGGTAGAAACATTCAGACCCTCATAGCAGTGTTCTGGAATCCTACATGAGCGACAAACACACTGAAACCAGCAGCAGTGTTCTGGAACCCTATGTGAGGGATAAACATTCAGACCATGCCAGGATTGTTCTGGAAACCTATGTGAGGGACCAACACTCCGAACCCAGCAGAAAGGTTTTGAAATCCTGTGTGAGGGACAAACGTTTAGACTCTCGTAGCAGTGTTCTGGAATCATATGTGAGGGACAAATATACAGACCATAGCAGGAGTGTTCTGGAATCCTATGTGAGGGACAAACATTCAGACCCTCATAGCAGTGATCTGGAATTCTATGTGAGGGACAAACATTCAGACATTGGTAGCATTGTTCTGGAATCCAATGTGAGGGACAAACATTCTGACCCTCATAGCAGTGTACCAGAATCCTGTGTTAGGAACGAACATTCAGACCACAGCATTAGTGTTCTGGAATCCCCTGTGAGGAACAAACATACAGACCCTCGTAGTAGTGTTCTGGAATCCTATGTGACGGCCAAATATTTATACCCCAGGAGCAGTGTTCTGGAATCCTCAGTGAGGAAAACCATTCAGAATCTTGTAGCAGTTTTGTGGAATCCTATGTGAGGGACAAACATTCAGACCACAGCGGGATTGTTCTGGAATGATATGTGAGGGACAAACACTAAGAAAATAACAGGAATGTTTTGGAATCCTATGTGAGTGACAAAAATTCAGACCCTCGTAGTAGTGTTCTGGAATCGTATGTGAGGGACAAGCATTCAGACCACAGCAGGAGTGTTCTGGAATCCTATGGGAGGGACATACATTCAAACCCTAGTTAGCAGTGTTCTGGAATCCTATGTGAGGGAAAAGCATTCAGAGTTTTGTAGCAGTGTTCTGGAATCCTATGTGAGGGACAAACATTCAGACCCTCAAAGGAGTATTCTGGAATCCTATGTGAGGGACAAACATTGAGATAATCATAGCAGTGTGCTGGAATCCTATGTGAGGGACAAACATTCAGACCCCAGCAGCAGTGTTCTGGAATCCTATGTGAGTGATAAACATTCAAACAACAGCGGGAGTGTTCCATAATCCTATGTTACAGACAAATATTCACACCGTCTTCACAGTGTTCTTGAATCCTATGTGAGGGACAAACACTCAGAAATGAGCAGCAGTGTTCTGGAACCCTGTGTGAGGGTCAAAATTTCAGACCACAGCAGGATTGTTCTGTAATCCTATGTTACGGACAAACATTTAGACCTCAGCAGGAGTGTTCTGGAATTCTATGCGAGGCACAGTCATTCGTACCCTCGTAACAGTGTTCTGGAATTCTGTGTGAGGGACAAGCATTCAGAACGTCGTAGCAGTGTTCTGGAATCCTATGTGAAGGACAACCATTCAGACCACAGGAAGAGTGCTCTGGAATCCCCAGTGAGGAACAAACATTCAGACACTAGTAAAAGTGTTCTGGAATCCTATGTGACAGACAAACATTCAGACCCCAGCAGCAGTGTTCTGGAGTTTTATGTGAGGGAAAAACGTTCAGACAATCATAGCAGAATTCTGGAATCCTATGTGAGGGACAAACATTCAGACCTCAGCTGCTGCGTTCTGGAATCCTATGTGAGGGACAAACATTCATACAACAGTGGGAGTGTTCTGGAATCCTATGTTACAGGCAAATATTCAGACCCTCGTCCGAGTGTTCTGGAATTCTATGTGAGGGAGAAACATTCAGAACCCACCAGCATTGTTCTGGAATCCTATGTGACGGACAGACATGCAGACCCCAGCAGCATTGTTCTGGAATCCTATGTGACGGTCAGACATGTAGACCCCAGCAGCATTGTTCTGGACTCCTATGTGAGGGATGATCATTCAGACCCTCGTTGCAGTGTTTTGGAATTCTGTGTGAGTGAGAAACATTCAGACCCTTGTAGAAGTGTTCTGGAGCCCTGTGTGAGGGACAAACATTCAGACCACAGCAGGAGTGTTCTGGAATCCACCGTGAGGAACAAACATTCCGACCCTCGTAGCAGTGTTCTGGAATCCTAAGTGATGGATAAACATTTAGACCCAGTAGCAGTGTTCTGGAATCCCCAGTGAGGAACAAACATTCAGACAATCGTAGCAGTTTTCTGGTATTCTATGTGAGGGACAAACATTCAGACCCCAGCAGCAGTGTTCTGGAATCCTATGTGTGGGACATACATTCAGACCCTCGTAGGAATGTTCTGGAATCCTTTGTGAGGGACATGTATTAAGATAATCATAGCAGTGTTCCAGAATCCTATGTGAGGGACAAACATTCAGACCCCAGGAGCAGTGTTCTGGAATCCTATGTAAGGGAGAAACATTCAACCAACAGCGGGAGTGTTCTGAAATCCTATGTTAAGGACAAACATTCAGACCCTAGTTGCAGTGTTCTAGAATTCTATGTGAGGGAGAAACACTCAGAAACCTGCAGCAGTGTTCTGGAATCTAGGTGACGCCCATAAATCTACACCCCAGCAGCAGTGTGGTGGAATCCTATATGATGGACAAACATCCAGAACCCAGCAGCAGTGTTCTGGAATCCTATGTGAGGTACAAACATTCAGACCCCAGCAGCAGTGTTCTGGAATCCTATGAGAGGGACAATCATTCAGACCCTTGTAGCAGTATTGTGGAATTCTGTGTGAGGGATAAACATCCAGAAACTCATAGCAGTGTTCTGGAATGCTCTGTGAGGTACAAACATTCAGACCCTCGTAGCAGTGTTCTGGAATACTACGTGAGGGACAAACATTGAGACCTCATAGCAGTGTTCTGGAATCCTATGTGACAGACAAACATTTAGATGGCAGCAGCAGTGTTCTGGAATCCTATGTGAGGTACAAACATTCAGAACACTGCAGAAGTGTTCTGGAATCTCCTGTGAGGAAGAAACTTTTAGACCCTCATAAAAGTGGTCTGGATTCCGATGTGATGGACAAACATTTAGACCCCAGCAGCAGTGTTCTGGAATCCTATGTGAGAGACAAACATTCAGAACCTCGTAGCAGTGTTCTGGAATCCTATGTGAGGGACAAACCCTCAGAACTCAGCAACTGTATTCTGGAATCCTATGGAGAGACAAACATTGAGACCACAGCAAGATTGTTCTGAAATCCTATGTGGGGGACAAACACTTCGAACACTGCAGGAGTGTTTTGGAATCCTATGTGAGGGACAAACATTCAGAGCCTCGTAGCAGTGTTCTGGAATCCTATGTGAGGGAAAAACTATCAGACCACAGCAGGAGTGTTCAGGAATCCTATGTGAGGGACTAACATTTAGATAATCAAAGCCGTGTTCTGGAATCCTATGTGAGAGGCAAACATTCATACACTCATAGCAGTGTTCTGCAATCCTATGTGAGGGACAAATATTCAGATCATCCTAGCAGTGTTCTGGAATCCTATGTGAGGGACAAATATTCAGATCATCCTAGCAGTGTTCTGGAATACTATGTGAGGGACAAAAATGCAGACAGTCGTAGCAGTGTTCTGGAATCCTATGTGAGGGACAAAAATGCAGACAATCGTAGCAGTGTTCTGTAATCCTATGGGAGGGACAAAAATTCAGAGCCTCCCAGCAGTGTTCTGGAATCCTATGTGAGGGTCAGACATTCAGACAATCGTAGAGTGTTCTGGAATCCTATGGGAGGGATAAACATTCAAAAAACAGCGAGAGCGTCTGACATCCTACGTTTCGGACAAACATGCATACCCTCGTCGCAGTGTTCTGGAATTTATGTGAGGGAGAGACACACAGAACCCAGCAGCAGTGTTCTGGATTCCTATGTGACGGACATACATGTAGACCCCAGCAGCAGCGTTCTGGAATCCTATGTGAGGGAAAAACATTCAGGCACCAGCAGCAGAGTTCTGGAATCCTATATGAAGGACAATCATTCAGACCCTCGTAACAGTGTTCTGGAATTCTGTGTGAGGGACAAACATTCAGACCACAGCAGGACTATTCTGGAATCCCCAGTGAGGAAGAAACATTCAGACCCTCGTAGCACTGTTCTTGAATCCTGTGTGATGGACAAACATTTAGACCCCAGCAGCGGTGTTCTGGAATCCTATGTGTGGGACCGTCATTCAGAACCTCGTAGCGTGTTCTGGAATCTGGTGTGATGCAGAAACATTCAGATCACAACAGTAGTGTTCTGGATCTGATGTGTCTACAAACACTCAGAACACAGCAGGAGTGTTTTGGAATCCTATATGAGGGAAAAACATTCAGACCCTCGTAGCAGTGTTCTGGAATCCTATCTAAGGGACAAACATTCAGACAATCATAGGAGTGTTCTGGAATCCGATGTGAGGGACAAACATTCAGACTCTTGTATCAGTGTTCTGAAATCCTACGTGAAAGACAAACATTCAAACAATCGCAGCAGTGTTCTGGAATCCTATGTGAGGGACAAATATTCAGACCCTCGTAGCAGTGTACTGGAATCCTATGTGAGGGACAAACTTTCAGACCAGAGCAGCAGTGTCCTTGAATCCTGTGTGAGGGACAAATATTGAGATCCCAGCAGGAGTGTTCTGGAATCTTTTGTTAATGAGAAACATTCAGACTACAGCAGGAGTGTTCTGGAATCCTATGGGAGCAACAAACATTCAGACCCCAGCACCAGTGTTCTTTTGTCCTATGTGAGAAACAAAAATTCAGATGCTCGCAGCAGTGTTCTGAAATCCTATGTGAGGGAAAAACATTCAGAACCTCGTAGCAGTGTTTTGGAATCCTATGGGAGGACAAAAAATCAGACACTCCTACTAGTGCTCTGGAAACCTATGTGAGGGACAAACATTCAGACCACAGCAGGAGTGTTCTGGAATCGCCTGTGAGGGAGAAACATTCAGACCCTCATAGCTGTGTTCTGGAATCCAATGTGACGGACAAAGATTTAGACCCCAGCAGCAGTGTTCTGGAATCCTATGTGATGGACAGACATTCAGACAATCGTAGCAGTGTTCTGGAATCCTATGTGAGGGACAAACATTCAGAACCCAGCAGCAGTGTTCTGGAATCCTATGTGAGGAACAAACATTCAAACAAACAACAGCGGGAGTGTTCGGGAATCTTATGTTACGGACAAACATTCAGACCATCATTGCAGTTTTCCGGAATTCTATGTGACGGAGAAAGACTCAGAACTCCGCAGCAGTGTTCTGGTATTCTATGCGATGGACATACATGCAGACCTCAGCAGCAGTGTTCTGGACTCGTATGTGAGGGACAAACATTCAGACCCCAGCAGCAGTCTTCTGAAATCCTACATGAGAGACAATCATTCAGTCCCTCGTTGCATTGTTCTGGAATTCTGTGTGAGGGAAAAACTTTCAGACAATCATGGCAGTGTTCCAGAATCCTACGTGAGGGTCAAACTTTCAGAACACAGAAGTAGTGATCTGGAATCCCCTGTGAGGAATAAACATTCAGAACCCTGTAGCAGTAACCTGGAATCCGATGTGACGGACAAACCTTTAGACCCCAGCAGCATTGATCTGGAATCCTATTTGAGGGACAATCATTCAGACCCTCTCAGCAGTATTCTGTCATCCTATGTGCGGGAGAAACATTCAGACCAGAGTGGGGGTGTTCTGTAATAATATGTGACAAACATTTCGATCCTCACAGAAGTGTTCTGGAATATTATATGAGGGACAAAGGTTCAGACAATTGTAGCAGTGTTCTGGAATCCTACGTGAGGGACAAACATTCAGAACCTAGAAGCAGTGTTCTAGAATCCTATATGAGGGACAAACGTTCAAACAACAGCGGGAGTGTTCTGGAGTCCTATGTTATGGACAAACATTCAGACCCTAGCAGAAGTGTTCTGGAATCCCATGTGACAGACAAACACTCAAACAAGAGCGGGAGTGGTCTGGAATCCTAAGTTAGGATCATACATTCAGACCCCCGTTGCAGTGTTCTGGAATTCTATGTGTGGGAGAAACACTCAGAACCAGCAGCAGTGTTCTGGCATCCAATGTGAGGGACACACGAGTAGACTGCAGCAGCAGTGTTCTGGAATCCTATGTGAGGGACACACATTCAGACCCCAGCAGCAGTGTTGTGGAATACTATATGAGGCACATTCATTCAGACCCTCGTTGCAGTGATCTGGAATCCTATGTGAGGGACAAACAGAACACAGCAGGAGTGTTTTGGAATCCCCTGTGAGGAACAAATATTCAGACCCTCGTCGCAGTGTTCTGGAATCCGATGTGAGGGACCAACAATCAGACAATCGTAGAAGTGTTCTGAAATCCTATCTGAGGGACAAACATTCAGACCCTTGTAGCAGTGTTGTGGAATCCTATGTGAGGGAGAAACATTCAGACAACCGTAGAACTGTTCTGGAATGTGAGTGACAAATATTCAGTCCCCAGCAGCAGTGTTCTGGAATCTTATGTGAGGGAAAAACATTCAAAAAACAGCGGAAGTGTTCTGGAATCCTACGTTAGAAACATAAATTCCAAGTATAATAATAATAAACGAAATAATATAACATAAAAAGAAACATACATTCAGACCCTCGATGCAGTGTTCTGGAATCTATGTGAGGGAGAAACACTCAGAACCCGGCCTCAGTGTTCTGGAATCCGATGTGAAAGACATACACATAGACTCCTGCAGCAGTGTTCTGGAGTCCTATGTGGGGGACAAACATTAAGACCCCAGAAGCAGTGTTCTGGAATCCTACGTGAGGGACAGTCAATCAGACCCTCGTAGTAGTGTTCTGGAATTCTGTGTGAGGGACAAACATTCAGACCCTCCTTGCAGTTTTCTGGAATTCAATGTGAGGGACAAACTTTCAGACCACAGCAGGGGTGTTGTGGAATCCCCGGTGAGGAACAAACATTGAGACACTCGTAGCAGTGTTCAGGAATCCTATGTGATGGACAATCATTTAAACCCCAGCAGCAGTGTTCTGGAATCCTATGTGAGAGAGAAACATTCAGACACTCGTAGCAGTGTTCTGGAATCCTATGTGAGGGACAAACACTCAGAACCCAGCTGCAGTGTTCTGGAACACTATGTTAGGGACAAACATTCAGACCACAGCAGGATTGTTCTGGAATTCTATGTGAGGGACACACATTCAGAAAACAGCAGGAGTGTTTTGGAATCCAACTTGGAGGACAAATATTCAGACCCTCGTAGCAGTGTTCTGGAATCCTATGTGAGGAGCAAACATTCACATAATCGTAGCAGTGTTCTGGAATCCTATGTGAGGGACAAACATTCAGAACTTCATAACAGTGTTCTTAAATCCAATGTGAGGGACAAACATTCAGACTGTCGTAGCGGTGTTCTGGAATCCTATGTGAGAGACAAACCCTCAGAACACAGCAAGAGTGTTTTGGAATCCTATGTGAGAGACAAATATTCAGATCCTCATAGCAGTGTTCTGGAATCCTATGTTAGGGACAAACATTCAGACTATCGTAGCAGTGTTCTGGAATCCTATGTGAGGGACAAATATTAAGACTATCATAGCAGTGTTCTGGAATCCTATGGGAAGGACAATCATTCAGACCCTCGTACCACTGTTCTGTAATTCCGTGTGAGGGACAAAGCTTTAAACCAAAGAAGGAGTGTTCTGGAATCCCCTGTGAGGAACAAACATTCAGACCCTCGTATCAGGGTTCTGGAATCCTATTTGACAGAGAAACATATAGACCCCAGCAACAGAGTTCTGGGGTCCAATGTGAGAAAAAAACAATCAGACCCTCGTAGCAGTGTTCTGGAATCCTATGTGGGAGACAAACATTCAGAGAATCGTAGCAGTTTTCTGGAATGCAATGTGAGGGAAAAACATTCAGACCCCTGTTGCAGTGTTCTGGAAACCTATGTGAGGGACACCCATTCAGACCACTGCATGATTGATCTGGAATCCTATGTGAAGGACAAACACTCAGAACACAGCAGGAGTGTTTTGGAATCCTATGTGAGGAACAAACATTCAGACCCTCTTAGCAGTGTTCTGGAATCCTATGCGAGGGACAAACATTGAAACAATAACTGGAGTGTTCTGAAATCCTATGTTATGGACAAACATTCAGATCCTCATTGCATTGTTATGGAATTCTATGTGACGGAGAAACACTCAGAAACTAACAGCAGTTTTCTGGCATCCTATGTGACAGACAAACTTTTAGACCCCAGCAGCAGTGTTCTGGAATCCTACCTGAGGGACAAACTTTGAGACCCCAGCAACAGTGTTGTTGAATCCTATGTGAGGGACAAAAATTAAGACCCCGGTAGGAGTGTTCTGGAATCTTTTGTGAAAGACAAACATTCAGACACAGCAGGAGTGTTCTGGAATTGTATGTTAGCAACAAACATTCGCATTCTAGCAGCAGAGTTCTTTGGTCCTATGTGAGGCACAAACTTCCAGACGCTCGTAGCAGTTTTCTGGAATATTATGTGATGGAAAAACATTCAGAATCTCATAGCAGTGCTTTGGAATCCTATGTGAGCACAAACATTCGGACCCCAGCAGCAGTGTTCTGGAATCCTATTTGAGGCACAAACATTCAGACCCTCGTAGCAGTGTTCTGGAATGCTATGTGATGGAGATCCATTCATACTACAGCAGCAGAGTTCTGGAATCTTGTGTGAGGGACAGACATTCAGACCACAGCCGGAGTGTTATGGAATCCTATATTAGGGACAAACATTCAGACACTTGTAGCAGTTTTCTGAAACCCTATGTCAGAGAGAAACATTCGGACCTCAGCAGCAGCGTTCTAGAATCCTATATGAGGCACATTCATTCAGACCCTCGTTGCAGTGATCTGGAATCCTATGTGAGGGACAAACACTCAGAACACAGCAGGAGTGTTTTGGAATCCCCTGTGAGGAACAAACATTCAGACCCTCATAACAATGTTCTGGAATCCTATGCGAGGGACCAACATTCAGACAATCGTAGAAGTGTTCTGGAATCCTATGTGAGGGACAAACATTCAGAAAACCGTAGCAGTGTTCTGGAATCCTATGTGAGGGACAAACATTCAAACAAGAGCGGGAGTGTTCTGGAATCCTATGTTAGGAACGTATATTCAAACCATCATTGCAGTGTTCTGGAATTCTAAGTGAGGGACAAACACTCAGAACCCAGCTGCAGTCTTCTGGAACCCTGTGTGAGAGACCAACATTCAGACAATCGTAGAAGTGTTCTGGAATCCTATGTGAGGGACAGTCATTCAAACACTCGTAGCAGTGTTCTGGAATCCTATGTGAAGTACAAATACTCAGAACCCAGCAACAGTGTTCTGGAACCCTATGTGAGATACAAACATTCCGACCACAGCTGTATTCTTCTGGAATCCTAAGTGAGGGACAAACCTTCAGACATTCGTAGCGGTGTTCTGGAATCCTATGTGAGGGACAAACATTCAGACAATCGTAGAAGGGTTCTGGAATTCTATGTGAGTGACAAATATTCAGAGCCCCGTAGCAGTGTTCTGGAATCCTATGTGAGGGACAAACATTCAGACCCCATCAGTAGTGTACTGGAATAACATGAGAGGGACAATCATTCAGACCCTCAGAGCAGTGTTCTGGAATTCTGTGTGATGGACATACATTAGGAACCTCGTAGTAGTGTTCTGGAATCCTGTCTGAGGGACAAACATTCAGACCACAGCAGGAGTGTTACGGAATGCCCTGTGAGGAAGAAACATTCAGACCCTTGTAGCAATGTTCTGGAATCCTACGTGATGGACAAACATTTAGACCATAGCAGCAGTGTTCTGGAATCCTATGTGAGGTACAAACACTCAGAACCCAGCAGCAGTGTTCTGGAACCCTATGTGAGGGACAAACATTGAGACCACTGCAGGATTCTTCTGGAATCCTATGTTAGGGACAAACACTCAGAACACAGCAGGAGTGTTTTGGAATCCTATGTGAGGGACAAATTTTGAGACCCTCGTAGCAGTGTTCCAGAATCATATGTGAGGGAGAAACATTCAGACAATCGTATCAGTGTTCCAGAATCGTATGTGAGGGACAAACATTCAGACCCTCGGAGCATTGTTCTGGAATGCTATGTTAGGGACAAACATTTAGACAATCGTAGCAATGTTCTGGAATAATATGTGAGGGACAAACATTCAGACAGTCTCAGCAGTGTTCTGGAATCCTATGCGAGGGACAAACATTCAGACCTCAGCAGCAGTGTTCTGGAATCCTATGTGAGGGACAAACTTTAAAACAACAGCGAAAGTGTTCTGGAATCCTATGTTATGAACAAACATTCAGACCCTCGTCGCAGTGTTCTGGAATTCTATGTGAGGGAGAAATACTCAGAACCCAGCAGCAAGGTTCTGGAATCATGTGAAGGACATACATATAGACTCCAGCAGCATTGTTCTGGAATCCTATGTGAGGGACAAACATTCACACCCCAGCAGCAGCGTTCTGGAATCCTATATGAGGGACAATCATTCAGATGCTTGTAGCAGTGTTCTGGAATTCTGTGTGAGGGACAAACTTTCAGATGCTCGTAGCAGTGTTCTGGAACTCTGTGTGAGGGACAAACTTTCAGACCCTCGTAGCAGTGTTCTGGAATCCTGTGTGAGGGACAAACTTTCAGATGCTCGTAGCAGTGTTCTGGAATTCTGTGTGAGGAACAAACCTTCAGACCCTCTTAGCAGTGTTCTGGAATCATATGTGTCGGACAAACATTTAGACCTCAGCAGCACTGTTCTAGAATCCTATGTGAGGAGCAATCATTCAGACACTCGCAGCGGTGTTCAGGAATCCGATGTGAGGGACAAACACTCAGAACCCAGCAGCAGTGTTCTGGAACCCTATTTGAGGGACAAACAGTCAGATCACAGCTGTATTGTTCTGAAATCCTATGTGAGGAACAAACATTCAGACATTCGTAACGGTGTTCTTGAATCCTACGTGAGGGACAAACATTCAGACGCCAGCAGCATTGTTTTGGAATCCTATGTAAGGGACAAACATTCAAACAACAGCGGGACTGTTTTGGAATCCTATGTGTGGGACAAACTTTAAGACAACAGCAGGAGTCTTCTGAAATCCTATGTGAGAAACAAACATTTACAACACAGCAGCAGTGTCCTGGAGTCCTATGTGAGGGGCAAATATTCAGAACCTCGTAGCAGTTTTCTGGAATCTTAGGAGAGGGACAAACACTCACAACCCAACAGGAGTGTTCTGGGAACCTGTGTGAGGGAAAAGCATTCAGACAACAGCAGGAGTGTTCTGGAATCATATGTGAGGGAGAAACACTCATATCACAACAGGAGTGTTCTGGAATCCCCTGTGAGGGACAAACATTCAGACCCTGGTAAGAGTGTTCCGGAAACCTATGTGAGGGGTAAGCATTTAGTTCCTCCTAGCAGTGTTCTGGAATCCTATGTGGGGGACAAACAGTCAGACCACAACAGGAGTGTACTAGAATCCCCTGTGAGGGACAAACATTCAGACCCTTGAAGCAGTGTTCTGGAATACTAGTGAGGGACAAAGATTCAGACTAGAGCAGAATTCTTCTGGAATCCTATGTGAGGAACGCATATTTAGACCACATCAGGAGTGTTCTGGAATGCTATTTGAGGGACAAACATTCAGTCCCTCTTAGCAGTGTTCTGGAATCCTTTGTGAGGGCTAACCACTCAGAACCCAGCAGCAGTGTTCTGGAATCCTATGAGAGGGACAAACATTCATACCACAGGAGGAATGTTCTGGAATCCTATGTGAGAGACAGACATTCAGACCCTGGTAGCAGTGTTCTGGAATCCTATGTGAAGGCCAAACACTCAGAAACCAGCAGCAGTGTTGTGGAATCCTATGCGAGCGACAAACATTCAGATGCCAGAAGCATTGTTCTGGAATCCTATATGAGGGGCAAACATTCAGACCTAAGCAGGAGTGTTCTTTAATCCTATATGATGGATAAACATTCAGACCCCTGCAGCAGTGTTCTGGATACCTATATGTGGGAGAAACAGTCAGAAACCAGCAGAACGGTTCTGGAATCCTCTGTGATGGACAAACATTTAGAGCCTAGAAGCATTTTTAAGCAATCCTATGTGAGGGAGAAAACATCCAGACCCCAGCAGAAGTGTTCTGGAATCCTTTTTGAAGGAATAACATTTAGTCCCCAGCAGCAGTGTTCTGGAATCCTATGTGAAGGACAAACATTCAGACCCTCCTAGCAGTGTTGTGGAATCCTATGTGAGGGACAAACATACAGATCACAGCAGAAGGGTTATTGCGTCTTATGTGAGGGACAGCCAGAACCCAGCAGGGGTGTTCTGGAATCCTATGTGAGGGACAAATATACAGACCACAGCAGAAGTTTTCTGGAATCCTTTGTGCAGAACAAACATTCAGACCACAGCAAAATTTTTCCAGAATCCTATGTGAGGGACAAAGCTTCAGAACCTCTTAGCAGTGTTCTTGAATCCTATGTGAGGGACAAACTTTCAGACTCCTGTGGCAGTGTTTTAGAATTCGATGTGAAGGACAAACGATCAAAACCCAGAGGCAGTGTTCTTGGATCTTATGTGAAGGACAAACATTCAGACCCTCTTAGCAGTGTTCTGAAATCCTATGTGAGGGAAAAGTATTCAGACTCTCGTAGCAGTGTTCTGGAATCCGACGTGAGGGAGAAACATTCAGACCACAGAAGGAATGTTCTGGAATCCTATGTGAGTAACGTTCAGACCACAGCACGATTGTTCTGGAATCCCATGTGAGGTACAAACATTCAGACGCCAGCAGCAGTGTTCCGAAATCCTATTGAGGGAAAAACTTTTAGACTCATGTAGCAGTGTTCTGTAATCGTACGTGAGGGACAAACACTGAGAACCCAACAGCAGTGTTCTGGAATTCTTAGTGAGGAACAAACATTCAGACCACAGCAGGAGTCTCCTGGAATCCTTTGTGAGGGAGAATAATGCAGACCCTCGTAGCAGTGATCTGGAATCCTATGTGAGGGAGAAACATTCAGACTCAAGTTACAGTTTTCTGGAATCCTATTTGAGGGACAAACCCTCAGACCACAGCAGGAATATTTTAGAATCCCATGTTAGGGAGAAACATTCAGACCACAGCAGGATTGTTCCAGAAACCAATGTAAGGCACAAACACGGAGAACACAAGAGTGTTCTGGAACCCTATATGAGGGTCAAACATTCAGACCACAGCAGTAGTGTTCTGGAATCCTATGTGAGGGAGAATAATTCAGATGGTCATAGCATTGCTCTGGAATCCTATGTGAGGGACAAACATTTAGAACCCAGTAGCAGCATTCTGGAATCCTATTTGAGGGACAAACACTCAGAACACTACAGGGATGTTTTGGAATCCTATGTTAGGGAGAAACATTCAGATGACCACAGGATTTTTCTGGAATCCCATGTGAGGCACAAACGCTCAGACAACAGCAGGAGTGTTCTAGAATGCTATGTGAAGGTCAACCATTCAGACCACAGCAGTAGTGTTCTAGAATTCTATGTGAGGGACAAACATTCATACCCTCGTAGCAGTGTTCTGGAATCCTATGTAAGGGACAAACACTAAGAACCCAGCAGCAGTGTTCTGGCATTCTATCTGAGGGACGGAAATTCAGACCAAAGCAGGAGTATTCTGGAATCCTATGAGAGGTACAATCATTCAGAACCTCGTAGTAATGTTCTGGAATCCTATGTGAGAGAGAAACACTCAGAACCCAGCAGTAGTGATATGGAATCCTATGTGAGGGACAATCATTCAGACCATAGATTGGGTGTTCTTGAATCCTATGTGAGGGACAAACATTCAGACCCTCATAGAAGTGTTCTGGAATCCTATGTGAGGGACAAACACTCAGAACCCAGCAGCAGTGTTCTGGAATCGGATGTAAGGTATAACCATTCAGACCACAGCAGGAGGGTTCTGGAATCTTATGTGAGGGACAATCATTCAGACCCTCGTAGCGGTAT
Organism: Homo sapiens; assembly: GCF_000001405.40. Lineage (NCBI taxonomy): Eukaryota > Metazoa > Chordata > Mammalia > Primates > Hominidae > Homo > Homo sapiens. Next base: position 16,438 of record NT_113930.2, read on the forward strand.
TCTGGAATCCTGTGTGAGGGAGAAACCCTCAGAACCCAGCGGCAGTCTTCTGTAATCCTATTTGAGGGACAATCATTCAGACCACACCTGTGGTGTTCTGGAATCCTGCATGTGGGACAAACTTTCAGACCCTTGTAGCATTGTTCTGGAATGCTATGTGAGGCAAACATTCACACCCTCGTAACAGTGTTCTGGAATTCTATGTGAGGGACAAACATTTAGACCCACTTAGTAGTGTTCTGGAATCGTACGTGAGGGACAAACACTCAGAACCCAACATCAGTGTTCTGGAATAATAAGATAGGGACAAACATTCAGACCACAGCAGGAGTGTTCTGCAACCTTATGTGTGGGAGAATAATTCAGAACCTCATAGCAGTGTTATGGAATCCTATGTGAGGGACAAACATTCAGACCCCAGTACCAGGTCTCTGGAATCTTATTTGAGGGACAAAGACTCAGTCCACAGCAGGAATGTTTTGGAATCCTATGTGAGAGAGAAACATTCAGACAACAGCAGAATTGTTCTGGAATCCCATGTAAGGCACAAACACCCAGACCACAGAAGGAGTGTTCTGGAATCCTATATGAGGTTCAACCATTCAGACCACAGCAGGAGTGTTCTGAAATCCTATGTGAGGAACAAACATTCAGAACACAAGAGCAGTGTTCTGGAATCTTATGTGAGTGACAAACATTCAGAACCCAGCAACAGTGTTCTGTAATCCTGTCTGAGAGACAAACATTCATACCACAGTAGGAGTGTTCTGGAGTCCAATGTGAGGTACAATCATTCAGAACCCAGTAGCAGTGTCCTGGTTTCCTATGTGAGGGAGAAACACTCAGAACCCAGCAGCAGTGTTATGGAATCCTATGTGAGGGACAATCATTCAGACCACAGCTGGGGTGTTCTGGAATCCTACCTGTGAGACAAACATTTAGACCCTCGCAGCATTGTTCTGCAATCCTATTTGAGGAAAATTCATTCACAATACAGCAGGAGTGTTCTGGAGTCCTATGTGCGGAAGAAACATACAGACCCTCGTAGGAGTGTTCCAGAATCCTATGTTAGGGACAATCCTTTAGACCCAAGTAGCAGTGTTTTGGAATCCTATTTGAGGGACAAACACTCAGACCACAGCAGGAATATTTTGGAAGCCTATGTGAGGAAGAAACATTCAGAACACAGAAGGATTGTTCTAGAATCCAACGTGAGGCACAAACAGCCAGACCACAGCACTAGTGTTCTGGAATCCTATATGACGGTCAACTTTTCAGACCACAGCAGTAGTGTTCTGTAATCCTATTTGAGGAACAAACATTAAGACAACAGCAGGCTTATTCTGGAAACTTCGGTGAGGAGCAAACATTGAGACCACAGCATCAGTGTTCTGGAATCTCATGTGAGGGACAAACACTCAGAACCTTGCAGCAGTGTTCTGGAATCCTATCTGAGGGACAAACATTCAGACCAGAGCAGGAGTGTTCTTTAATCCTCTGTGAAGTACAATCATTGAGACACTCGTAGCAGTGTACTGGAATCCTACGTGAGGGAGAAACACTCAAAAACCAGCAGCAGTGTTCTGGAATCCTATGTGAGGGACAATCATTCAGACCACAGCTGGGGTGTTCTGTAATCCTACGTGTGGAACAAACATTCAGACACAATTAGAATTGATCTGGAATCGCATGTGAGGAAAACACATTCAGAACACATCAGGAATCTTCTGGAGTCCTATGTGCGGGACAACCATTCAGAGGCTTGTAGCAGTGTTCTGGAATCCTATGTGAGGGAGAAACCTTTAGACCCACGTAGCAGTGTTCTGGAGTCGTACGTGAGGGACAAACCCTCAGAACCCAACATCAGCGTTGCGGAATTCTAAGTGAGGGACAAACATTCAGACCACAGCAGGAGTGTTCTGGAATCCTATGTAAGGGAGAATAATTCAGAGCCTCGTAGCAGTGTTCTGCAATCCTATGTGAGGAACAAACATTCAGACCACAGTAGCAGTGTTCTGGAATCCTATTTGAGGGACAAACACTCAGAGCACAGCAGGGATGCTTTGGAACCCTATGTGAGGGAGAAACATTCAGACCACAGCAGGATTGTTCTGGAATCCCATTGGAGGCACAAACACCCAGACCACAGCAGGAGTGTTCTGCCATCCTATGTGATGGTCAACCATTCAGACCACAGCAGCAGTGCTCGGGAATCCTAGATGAGGTACAAACATTCAGACCACAGCAGGAGTGTTCTGGAATCCTATGTGAGATACAATGGTTCAGACCCTTGTAGCAGTGTTCTGGAATCCTATGTGATGGAGAACCACTCAGAATCCAGCAGCAGTGTTCTGGAATCCTATGTGATGGAGAAACACTCAGAACCCAGCAGCAGTGTTCGGGAGTCCTATGTAAGGTACAATCATTCAGACCACAGCTGGGGTGTTCTGGAATCCTATATGTGGGAAAAACATTCAGACCCCGGTAGCATTGTTCTGGAATCCTATGTGAGGAAAATACATTGAGAACACATCAGGAGTGTTCTGGAGTCCTATGTGCGGGACAAACATTCAGACCCTCTTAGCGGTATTCTGGAATCCTATGTGAGGGAAAAACATTTAGACCCACATGGGAGTGTTCTGGAATCTTTCGTGAGGGACAAACACTCAGAACCCAACAGCAGTGTTCTGGAATCCTAATGAGGGACAAACATTCAGACCACAGCAGGAGTGCGCTGGTATCCTATGTGAGGGAGAATAATTCAAACCCTCGTGATAGTGTTCTGGATTCCTATGTGATGGACAAATATTCAGACCTCAATACCAGTGTTCTGGAATCGTATTTGAGGGACAAACACTCAGACCATAGCAGGAATGTTTTGGAATCCAATGTGAGGGAGAAACATTCAGACTACTGCAGGATTGTTCTGCAATCCCATGTGAGGCACAAACACCCAGACCACAGCAGGATTGTTCTGGAATCCTATGTGATGGTCAGACATTCAGACCACAGCAGTAGTAGTCTGGAATCCTGTATGAGAGACAAACATTCAGATTACAGCAGGATTGTTCTAGAATTCTATGGAGGAACAAATATTCAAACCATATCAGCACTGTTCTGGAATCCTATGTGAAGGGACAGACACTCAGAACGCAGCAGCAGTGTTCTGGAATCCTATTTTAGGGACAAACACCCAGACAAGAGCAGGGGTGTTCTGGAATCCTATGTGACGGTCAACCATTCAGACAACAGCAGTAGTGTTCTGCAAGCCTATAAGAGGGAAAAACATTCAGACAACAGCAGGAGTGATCTGGAATCCCATCTGAGGAACAAACATTCAGACCACAGCTGTGGTGTTCTGGAATAGTATGTGAGGGCCAAACACTGAGAACCCAACAGCAGTGTTCAGGAATACTAAGTGAGGGACAAACATTCTGACCACAGCAGGAGTGTCCTGGAATCCTATGTGGGGTAGAATAATTCAGACCCTCGTAGCAGTGTTCTGGAATCCTATGAGAGGAACAAACATTCATACCCCAGTAGCAGTGTTCTAGAATCCTATTTGAGGGACAAACACTCAGACAACAGCAGAAATGTTTTGGAATCATATGTGAGGGAGAAACATTCAGACCACAGCAGGACTGTTCTGGAATCCCATGTGAGGCACAAACACCCAGACCACAGCAGGCGTGTTCTGGAATCCTATGTGAGGGTCAAACATTCAGACCACAGCAGTAGTCTTCTGGAATCCTAGATGAGGGACAAATATTCAGACCCCAGCAGTAGTGTTCAGGAATCCTACATGAGGGACAAACATTTAGAACCCAGTAGCATTGTTCTGGAATCCCATGTGAGGGACAATCATTCAGCCCACAGCTGGTGTGTTCTGGAATCCTATTTGTGGGACAAACATTCAGACCCTCGTAGCATTGTTCTGGAATCCTATGTGAGGAAAATACATTCAGAACACAGCAGGATTGTTCTTCAGTCCTATGTGTGAGGCAAACATTCATACCCTTGTAGCCGTGTTCTGGAGTCCTCTGTGGAGGGCTAACATTAAGACCCACGTAACAGTGTTCCGGCATCGTACGTGAGGATAAACACTCAGAACCCAACAGCAGTGTTCTGGAATCCTAAGTGAGGGACAAACATTAAGATGTCAATACCAGTGTTCTGGAATCCTATTTGAGGGACAAACACTCAGACACAGGAGGAATGTTTTGGAAGCCTATGCGAGGGAGAAACATTCAGACTACAGCAGGATTGTTCTGGAATACCATGTGCGGTAAAAACACACAGACCACAGCAGGATTGTTCTGGAATCCTATGTGAGGGTCAACCATTCAGACCACAGCATCAGGGTTCTGGAATCCTATATGAGTGACAAATATTCAGAACACAGCAAGAGAGTTCTGGGATCCTGTGTGTTGGACAAACTCTCAGAACCCAGCAGCAGTGTTCTGGAATCCTATTTAAGGGGGAAACACCCAGACCAGAGCAGGGATGTTCTGGAATCCTATGTGAGGGTCAACCATTCAGACCACAGCAGTAGTGTTCTGCAATCCTATGTGAGGGACAAACATTCAGACCACAGCAAGAGTGTTCTGAAATCCTATGTGAGGGACAAACATTCAGAACCCAGCACCTTTTTTCTGGAATCCTATCTGAGTGACAAACATTCAGAACAGAGCAGGAGTGTTCTGGAATCCTATGTGAACTACAATCATTCAGACCCTCGTAGCAGTGTTCTGGAATCGTATGTGAGGGAGAAACACTCAGAACCCAGCAGCAGTGTTCTGGAATCCTATGGGAGGGACAATCATTCAGAACACAGCTGAGGTGTTCTGGAATCCTAAGTGTGGGAAAAACATTCAGACCCTGGTAGCATTGTTCTGGAATCCCATGTGAGGAAAATACATTCAGGAAACAGGAGGAGTGTTCTGGAGTCCTACGTGCGAGAGAAACATTCAGACCCTCCTAGCAGTGTTCTGGAATCCTATGTGAGGGACAAATATTTAGACCCACGTAACATTGTTCTGGAATCGCACATGAGGGACAAACACTCAGAACCTAACAGCAGTGTTCTGGAATCCTAAGTGAGGGACAAACATTCAGACCACAACAGGAGTGCCCTGGAATCCTATCAGAGGGAGAATAATTCAGACCCTCCTGTCAGGGTTTTGGAATCCTATGTGAGGGACAAACATTCAGACCCCAGTAGCAGTGTTCTACAATCCTGTTTGAGGGACAAACACTCAGACTGCAGCAGGAATGTTTTGGAATCCTATGTGAGGGAGAAACATTCAGACCACAGAAGGATTGTTCTGGAATCCCATGTGAGACACAAACACCCTGATCACAGCAGGAGTATTCTGGAATCATATCTGAGGGTCAAACGTTGAGACCACAGCAGTAGTGTTCTGGAATCCTATATGAGAGACAAACATTCAGACCACAGCAGCATTGTTCAGGAATCCTTTGTGAGGGACAAACACTCAGAACCCAGTAGCAGTGTTCTGGAATTCTATGTGAATGACAAATATTTAGACCCTCGTCGCAGTGTTCTGGAATGCTATGGTAGGGACAAACTCTGAAAACCCAGCAGCAGTGTTCTGGAATCCTATGTGAGGGACAATCATTCAGACCACAGCTGGGGTTTTCTGGAATCCTACATGTGCGACAAGCATTCAGACACTCATAACATTCTTCTGGAATCCTATCATAGGAAAATACATTCAGAACACAGCAAGAGTGTTCTGGAGTCCTATGTGCGAGAAAAACATTCAGACCCTCGTAGCACTGTTCTGGAATCCTACGTAACAGACAAACATATAGACCCACGTGGCAGTGTTGTGGAATTGTACCTGAGGGACAAACACTCAGAACCCAACAGTAGTGTTCTGGAATCCTAAGTGAGGGACAAACACTCAGACTGCAGCAGGAGTGCTCTTGAATACTTAGTGGGGAACAAATATTCAGACAACAGCAGGAGTGTTCTGGAATCCTATGTGAGGGAGAATAATTTATACCCTCATAGCAGTGTTCTGGAATCCTATTTGAGGGACAAACATTCAGACCATCGTAACAGTGTTCTGGAATCCTATGTGAGGGACAAACACTCAGAACCCAGCAGCAGTGTTCTGGAATCCTATGTGAGGGACAATTATTCAGACCACAGCTGGGGTGTTCTGGAATCCTAAGTGTGGGACAACCATTCAGACCCTCGTAGCATTGTTCTGGAATCCTAAGTGAGGAAAATACATTCAGAACACAGCAGGAGTGTTCTGGAATTCTACATGCGGGACAAACATTCAGACTCTCTTAGCAGTGTTATGGAGTCTTAGGTGAGGGACAAATATTCAGACCCTCATAGTAGTTTTCTGGAGCCCTATGTGAGGGACGAGCATTTAGACCAATGTAGAAGTGTTCTAGAATCGTATGTGAGGCACAAAACACTCAGAACCCAACAGCAGTGTTCTGGAATCCTAAGTGAGGGATAAACATTCAGACCACAGCAGGAGTGTTCTGGAAACATAAGTGAGGGAGAAACATTCCCACGACAGCAGGAATGTTCTGGAGCCCTATGTGAGGGACAAACACTCAGACCACAGCAAGAATGCTTTGTAATCCTATGTGACAGAGAAGCATTCACACCACAGCAGGATTGTTATGGAATCCCATGTGAGGCACAAACACCCAGACCACAGCAGGAGTGTTCTGGAATCCTATGTGAGCATCAACCATTCAGACCACTGCAGTAGTGTTCTGGAATCCGATGTGAAGAGCAAACATTCTGAGCCTCGTAGCATTGTTCTGTAATCTTATCTGAGGGATAAACATTCAGACTCTCTTGGCAGTGTTCTGGAATATTATGTGAGGAACAAATATTCAGACCCTCGTAGCAGTGTTCTGGAATCCTATGTGAGTGAGAAATACACAGAACCCAGCAGCAGTGTTCTGTAATCCTATGTGAGGAACAAACATTAGGACACTCGTAGCAGTGTTCTGGAATCATATGTGAGGCAAAAACACTCAGAACCCAGCAGCACTGTTCTGGAATCCTATTTGAGGGAAACTTTCAGACCACAGCAGGAGTATTCAGGAATCATATGTGAGGGACAAACATTCAGACCCTCATAGCCGTGTTCTGGAATCCTATGTGAGGGAGAATAATTCAGACCCTCATAGCAGTGTTCTCGAACCCCATTTGAGGGACAAACACTCAGAAGACAGCAGGACTGTTTTGGAATCCTACATGAGGGAGAAACATTCAGACCCCAGCAGAAGTGTTCTGGAATCTTATTGCAGGTACAAACACTCAGAACCCAGCAGCAGTGTTCTGGAATCCTATGTTAGGAACTCACATTCAGAACCTCGTACCAGAGTTTTGGAATCCTCTGTGAGGGACAACCTTTCAGACCAAAGCAGCAGTGTTCTGGAATCCTATGTGAGGAATAAACATTCACAGCACAGCAGGAGTTTTCTGGTATCCTATTTAAGGGACAAACATTCAGACCCTCGTAGCAGTGTTGTGAAATCCTATGTAAAGGACAAACATTCAGACCACAGCAGTAGTGATCTGGAATCCTATGTGAAGGACAAATATTCAGAACCCTGCTGCAGTGTTCTAAAATCCTATGTGAAAGACAAACATTCAAATCTTCGTAGCAGTGTTCTGGAATCCTATGCGAGGGACAAACATTCAGACCACAGCAGCACTGTTCTGGAATCCTATGTGAGAGATAAACACCCAGACCACAGCAGGAGTGTTCTGGAAGTCTATGTGATGAACAAACATTCAGAACACAGCAGGGGTGTTCTGGAATCCTGTGTGAGTGACAAACATTCACACCCAGCAGCATTGTTCTGGAGTTCTGTGTGTGGGACAAACATTCAGACCACAGCAGGAGTGTCCAGGAATCCTATGTGAGGGACAAACATTCAGACCCTCATAGCAGTGTTCTGGAATCCTATGTGAGAGAAAAACACTCAGAAGCCAGAAGCAGATTTCTGGAATCCTATGTGAGGGACAAAGATTGAGAAACCCGTAGAAGTGTTCTGAAATCATATGTGAGGGACAAACTTCCAGACCCCAGCAGCAGTGTTCTTGAATCTTATGTGAGGGACAAACATTCAGATCAAATCAGGAGTGTTTTGGAATCCTATGTGAGGGACAAACATTCAGATTAAAGCAGGAGTGTTCTGGAATCCTAATTCAGGGACACACAGTTCAGACCACAGCAAGAGTGCCCTGGAATCCCATGTGTGGGAGAATAATTCAGACGGTTGCTGCAGTGTTCTTGAATCCTATGAGAGGGAAAAACATTCAGACCCTCGTAGCACTGTTCTCGAATCCTATGTGAGAGACAAACACTGCGAACCCAGCAGTGTTCTGGAATCCAATGTGAGGGACAATCATTCAGACCAAAGCTGGGGTGTTCTGGAATCCTACGTGTAGAACAAGCATTCAGAACCTCGTACCATTGTTCTGGAATCCTCTGTTAGGAAAATACATTCAGAACACAGAAGGAGTGTTCTGGAGTCCTATGTGCAGGACAAATATTCAGACCCTCGTAGCTGTGTTCTGGAATCCTATATGAAGGAAAAACACTAAGAACCCAGCAGCAGTGTTCCGGAATCCTATGTGAGGAACAAACATTCAGACCACAATAGCAGTGTTCTGGAGTCTTATGTGAGGGACAAACATTCAGATCCTCTTAGAAGTGTTCTGGAATCCTATGTGAGGGGCAAAGTTTTAGAACAAAGCAGCAGTGTTCTAGAATCTTATGTGAGGGGCAAAGTTTTAGAACAAAGCAGCAGTGTTCTAGAATCTTATGTGAGGGACAAACATTCAGACCACAGCAGGAGTGTTCTAGAAACCTATGTGAGGGAGAAACATTCAGTCCCAAGGAGCAGTGTTCTGGAATCCTATGTGAGGGACAGACATTTAGACCGACGTAGCAGTGTTCTGGAATCGTACGTCAGGAACAAACACTCACAACCCAGCGGCAGTGTTCTGGAATCCTACGTGAGGGACAAACATTCAGACCACAACAGGAGTGTTCTGGAATCCTATGTGATGGACAAACATTCAGTACCCAGGAGCAGTGCTCTGGAATCCTATGTGAGAGACAAACATTTAGACCCACACAGCAGCGTTCTGGAATCATAAGTGTGAGACAAACACTGAGAACCTCAGAGCTTTGTTCTGGAATCCTAAGGGAGGAACAGATATTGAGACCACAGCAGGAATGTTTTGGAATTGTATCTGAGGGACAAACATTCAGACGACGGCAGCAGTGTTATGGAATGCTTTGTGAGGGACAAACAGTCACAACCCAGCAGCAGTGTCCTGGAATTCTATTTTGGGACAAACACTCAGACAACAGAAGCAATGTTTTGGAATCCTATGTGATGGAGAAACGTTCAGACTGCAGCAGGATTGTTCTGGAATACCAAGTGAGGCACAGACAACAGCAGGAGTGTTCTGGAATCCTATGTGAGGGTCAAATTTTCAGTTGATAGCAGTAGTGCTCTGGAATCCTATGTGAGGGACAAACTTTCAGACCCTCGTAGGAGTGTTCTAGAATCCTTTCTGAGGGACAAACACTCAGAACCCAGCTGCTGTGTTCTGGAATCCAATCTGAGGTACCAATATTCAGAAGAGAGCATTAGTGTTACGGAATCCTTTGTGATTTACAATCATTCAGACATTCGCAGCAGTTTTCTGGAATCCTATGTGAGGGAGAAGCCATCAGAACCCAGCAGCAGGGTTCTGGAATCCTATGTGAGAGAAAATCATTCAGAGCACAGCTAGGGTGCTCTGGAATTCTACGTGTGGGACTAGCATTCAGAACTTCGTAGCATTGTTCCGGAATCCTAGGTTAGGGAAACACATTCAGAACACAGCAGGTGTGTTCTGGAGTCCTATGTACGGGACAAACATTCAGACCCTTGTAGCAGTGTTCTGGAATCCTATGTGAGGGACAAGCACTTAAACCCAAGTAGCAGTGCTCTGCAATTGTACTTGAGGGACAAGCACTCTGAATCCAACAGCAGTGTTCTGTAATCCTGAGTGAGGGACAAACATTCAGACCACAGCAGGAGTGTTCCGGAATCGTAAGTGAGGAACAAACATTCAGATTCCAGCATGTGTGTTCTGGTATCCTATGTGAGGGAGAATAATTTAGACGCTTGTAGCAGTGTTCTGGAATCCTATGTGAGGGACCAACATTCAGACCCTCGTAGCAGTGTTCTGGAGTCCTATGTGAGGGACAAGCACTTAAACCCAAGTAGCAGTGCTCTGCAATTGTACTTGAGGGACAAGCACTCTGAATCCAACAGCAGTGTTCTGTAATCCTGAGTGAGGGACAAACATTCAGACCACAGCAGGAGTGTTCCGGAATCGTAAGTGAGGAACAAACATTCAGATTCCAGCATGTGTGTTCTGGTATCCTATGTGAGGGAGAATAATTTAGACGCTTGTAGCAGTGTTCTGGAATCCTATGTGAGGGACCAACATTCAGACCCTCGTAGCAGTGTTCTGGAGTCCTATGTGAGGGACAAGCACTTAAACCCAAGTAGCAGTGCTCTGCAATTGTACTTGAGGGACAAGCACTCTGAATCCAACAGCAGTGTTCTGTAATCCTGAGTGAGGGACAAACATTCAGACCACAGCAGGAGTGTTCCGGAATCGTAAGTGAGGAACAAACATTCAGACTCCAGCATGTGAGTTCTGGTATCCTATGTGAGGGAGAATAATTTAGACGCTTGTAGCAGTGTTCTGGAATCCTATGTGAGGGACCAACATTCAGACCCTCGTAGCAGTGTTCTGGAGTCCTATGTGAGGGACAAACATTTAGACCCATGTAACACTGTTCTGGAATCAAACATGAGGGAAAAACACTCAGAACCCAAAAGCAGTGTTATGGAATCCTACATAAGGGACAATAATTCAGATCCTCGTAGCAGTGTTCTGGAATCCTATTAGAGGGGCAAACATTCAGACCCTCGTAGCAGTGTTCTGAATTCTATTTGAGGGACAACACTCAGAACCCAGTGACACTGTTGTAGAATGCTTTGTGTGGGGCAATCATTCAGACCACAGCTAGGGTGTTCTGGAATCCTACGTGTGAGACAAACATTCAGATCCTCGTAGCAGTGTTCTGGAATCTTACGTGAGGGACAAACATTGAGACTCTCGTAGCAGTGTTCTGGAATCCTATGTGAAGGACAAACACTCAGAACCCAGAAGCAGTGATCTGGATTCCTATGTAAGGGACAAACATTCAGACCACAGCAGGAGAGTTCTCGAAACCTAAGTGAGGAACAAACACTCAGACCACAGCAGGAATGTTTTGGAATCCTATGTGAGGGAGAAATATTCAGACCACAGCAGGATTATTCTGGAATCCCATGTGAGGCACAAACACCCAGACCACAGCAGGAGTGTTCTGGAATCCTATGTGAGGGTCAACCATTCAGACCACAGCAGTAGTGTCCTGGAATCCTATGTGAGGGACAAACATTCAGAACCTCGCAACAGTGTTCTGGAATCGTATGATAGGGACAAACACTCAGAACCCAGCAGCAGAGTTCTGGAATGTTATGTGAGAGACAAAATCTCAGACCCCAGCAGCAGTGTTCTGGCATCCTATGTGAGGGATAAACACTCAGAAAGTAGCAGCAGTGTTCTGGAATCCTATTAGAAGGACAAACATTCAGACGAGAGCAGGAGTGTTCTGGTATCCTATGTGAGGTACAATCATTCAGTCCCTCGTAGCAGTGTTCTGGAATCCTATGTGAGGGACAAACATTTAAACTCTCGTAGCAGTGTTCTGGAATCCCATATCTGGGAGAAACACTTAGACCCATGTAGCACTGTTCTGGATCCCTACGTGAGGGACAAATACTCAGAACCCAACAGCAGTGTTCTGGAATCCTCAGTGAGGGACAAACATTCAGACCACAGCAAGAGTGTTCTGGAATCCTAAGTGAGGGACAAACATTGAGACCACAGCAGGAGTGTTCTGGAATCCTATGTGAGGAACAAACATTCAGACACTCGTAGTAGTGTTCTGGAATCCTATGAGAGGGACAAACATTTAGACCCACGTACCAGTGTTCTGGAATAGTATGTGAGGGACAAACACTCAGAACCCAACAGCAGTGTTCTGGAATCCTAAGTGAGGGACAAACATTTAGACCCACTTACCAGTGTTCTGGAATAGTACGTGAGGGACAAACACTCAGAACCCAACAGCACTGTTCTGGAATCCTAAGTAAGGGACAAACATTCAGACCACAGGAGGAGTGTTCTGGAATCCTATGTGAGGGAGAATAATTCAGAACCTCGTAGCAGTTTTCTGGAATCCTATGTGAGGGACAAACATTCAGACCCCAGCAGCAGTGACCTGAAATCCTATGTGAGAGAGAATCTCTCAGAACCCAGAAGCAGTGTACCAGAATCCTATGTGAGGGCCAATCATTCAGACCATAGCTGGGGTGTTCTGGAAACCTAAGTGTGGGACAAATATTCAGACCCTCATAGCAGTGTTCTGGAACCCTATGTGAGGGACAAACATTTAGGCCCACGTAGCAGTGTTCTGGAATCGTACGTGAGGGACAAACACTCAGAACCCAACAGCAGTATTCTGGAAACCTAAGTGAGGGACACACATTCAGACAACAGCAGGATGGTTCTGGATTCCTATGTGAGGGAGAAACACTCAGAACCCAGCATCAGTGTTCTGGAATCCTATGTGAGACCATCAGAAAGACCACAGCTGGTGGGTTCTGGAATCCAAGTTTGGGACAAAGATTCAGACACTCGTAGCATTGTTCTGGAATCCTATGTGAGGAAAACACAATCAGAACACAGCAGGAGTGTTCTGGAATCCTATGTGCAGGACAAACATTAGGACCCTCGTAGCAGTGTTCTGGAATCCTATGTGAGGGACAAACATTTAGACCCACGTAGCAGGGTTCTGGAATCATACTTGAGGGACAAACACTCAAATCCCAACAGCAGTGTTCTGGAATCCTAAGTGAGGGACAAACATTCAGACAACAGCAGGAGTGTTCTGGAATCCTATGTGAAGAGAATAATTCAGACCCCTGTAGCAGTGCTCTGGAATCCTATGTGAGGGACAAACATTCAGACCTTCGTAGCAGTGCTCTGGAATCCTCTGTGAGGGATAAACATATAGACCCATATAACTGTTTTCTGGAATCTTATGTAAGGGAAAAACTCTCAGAATCCAACAGCAGTGTTCTGGAATCCTATGTGAGGGAGAAACACTCAGAATCCAGCAGCAGTGTTCTGGAATCCTATGTGAGGGACAGTCATCCAGACCACAGCTGGGATTTTTCTGGATCCCTACGTGTGGGACAAACATTCAGACCCTCATAGCATTGTTCTGAAATCCTATTTGAGGAAGAACATTCAGAATACAGCAGTAGTGTCCTGGAGACCTACGTGCGGGACAAACATACAGACCCTCGTAGCAGTGTTCTGGAATCCTATGTGAGGGACAAATATTCAGACCACAGCAGGAGTGTTCTGGAATCCTATGTGAGGGACAATAAATCAGATGCTCGTAGCAGTGTTCTGGAATCCTATGTGAGGGACAATTTTCAGACCCTCATAGCAGTGTTCTGGAATCCTATGTGAGGGACAAACACTCAGAACCCAGGAGTAGTATTCTGGAATCCCATGTTAGGGACAATCATTCAGACCACAGCTGAGTTGTTCTTTAATCCTACGTGTGGGACAAGCATTCAGACCCTCATAGCAGTGTTCTGGAGTCCTATGTGCGGGAGAAACATTCAGACCCTTGTAGGAGTCTTCAGGAATCCTATGTGAGGGACATACATTTAGACCCACGTAGCAGGGTTCTGGAATCGTACTTGAGGGACAAACAGTCAGAACCCAACATCAGTGTTCTGGAATCTTAAGTGAGGGACAAACATTCAGACCATAACAGGAGTGTTCTGGAATCCTATGTGAGGGAGAATAATTCAGACCCTCGTAGCAGTGTTCAGGAATCCTATTTGAAGGAGAAACACTCAGATCACAGCAGGATTCTTCTGGAATCCCATGTGAGGCAAAAACCCACAGACCACAGCAGGAGTGTTCTGGAATCCTTTGGGTGGGTCAACCATTCAGACCACAGCAGTAGTGTTCTGGAATCTTATGTGAGGGACAAACATTCAGACTTTCGTAGCAGTGTTCTGGAATCCTATGCGAGGGAGAAACACTCAGAACCCAGCAGCAGTGTTTTGGATTCCTATGTGAGGGTCAAATAGACCACAGCAGTAGTGTTCTGGAATCCTTTGTGAGGAACAAACATTCAGACCCTCGTAGCAGTGTTTTGGAATCCTATGTGAGGGAAAAACACTCAGAACCCAGCAGCAGTGTTCAGGAATCCTATGTTAGGGACAGTCATTCAGACCACAGCTGGGGTGTTCCGGAATCCTACGTGTGGGACAAGCATTCAGACCCTCGTAGCATTGTTCTGGAATCCTATGTTAGTAAAATGCATTCAGAACACAGCAGGAGTGTTCTGGAGTCCTATGTGTGGGACAAATCTTCAGACCCTCGTAGCCGTGTTCTGGAATCCTATGTGAGGGAGAATAATACAGACCGTCGTAGCAGGGCTCTGGAATCCTATTTGAGGGACAAACACTCAGATGACAGCATGACTGTTCTGGAATCCCATGTGAGACACAAACATCCATACCACAGCAGGAGTGTTCTGGAATCCTATGTGAGGTTCAACCATTCAGACCACAGCATTGGTGTTCTGGAAATGCTATGTGAAGCAGAAACATTCAGACCCTCGTAGCAGTGCTCAGGAATCTTATGTGAGGGACAAACATTCAGACCCTCTTAGCAGTGTTCTGGAATCCTATGCGAGGGGGAAACACTAATAACCCAGCAGCTGTGTTTTGGAATCCTATGTGAGGATCAAATATTCAGACCACAGCAGTAGTGTTCTGGAATCCTTTGTAAGGGACAAACATTCAGACCCTCGTAGCAGTGTTTTGGAATCCTATGTGAGGGAAAAACACTCAGAACCCAGCAGCAGTTTTCAGGAATCCTATGTTAGGGACAGTCATTCAGACCACAGCTGGGGTGTTCCGGAATCCTAAGTGTGGGAAAAACATTCAGGCCCTTCTAGCATTGTTTTGGAATCCTATGTGAGGGAGAATAATACAGACCTTCATAGCAGTGTTCTGGAATCCTATTTGAGGGACAAACACTCAGATGACAGCATGATTGTTCTGGAATCCTATGTGAGAGACAACCATTCAGACCACAGCAGTATTGTATTGGAATCCTAAGTGAGGGAGAAACATCCAGACCACAGCAGGAGTGTTCTGGAATCCTATGTCAAGGAGAAAAATACAGACCCTCGTAGCCGTGTTCTGTAATCCTATGTGAGGGACAAACACTCATATCCCAGCAGCAGTGTTCTGGAATCTTATGTGAGGGACAGACATTCAGACCCTCGTAGAAGTGTTCTGGAATCCTACGTGAGAGACAAAGAATCAGAACCCAGCTGCAGAGTTCTGGAATCTTATGTGAGGGACAAACATTCAGACAAGAGCGGGATTGTTCTGGAATTAAATGGGTTGGACAAACATTCTGACCCTCGTAGCAGTGTTCTGGAATCCTATGTGAGGGAAAAACTCTCAGAACCCAGCAGTAGTGTTATGGAACACTATGTGAGGGAGAAACATTCAGAAGACAGCAGGGGTGTTCTGGAATCCCATGTGATGGAGAATAATTCAGAACCTCGTAGCAGTCTTTTGGAATCCTATGTGAGGGAGAAAATCTCAAAACACAGCAGCAGTGTTCTGGAATCCTATGAGAGGGACAATCATTCAGACCACAGCGGGGGTGTTCTGGAATCCTATGTGTGGGACAAGCATTCAGAAACTCGTAGCATTGTTCTGGAATCCTATGTCAGGAAAATACATTCAGAACACATCAGGAGTCTTCTGGAGTACTTTGTGAGGGACAAACATTCAGACTCTCGTAGCCGTGTTCTGGAATCCTATCAGAGAGAATAATTCAGACCCTCCTAACAGGATTCTGGAATCCTTTTTGAGGGACAAACACTCAGACCACAGCATAAATGTTTTGGAATCTTATGTGAAGTAGAAACATTAAGACCACAGGAGGATTGTTCTGGAATCCCATGTGAGGCACAAACACCCAGACCACAGCAGAAATGTTCTGGAATCCTGTGTGAGGGTCAACCATTCAGATCACAGCAGTAGTGTTCTGGAATCCTTTGTGAAGGACAAATATTCAGACAAGAGCAGGAGTGTTCTGGAATCCTATGTGAGGGAAAATAATTCAGACCCTTGTACATTTGTTCTGGAATCCTATGTGAGAGACAAACACTCAGAACCCAGCAACAGTGTTCTGGAATCTTAGGTTTGGGACAAACATTCAGACCACAGCAGGAGTGTTCTCGAATCTCATGTGAGGAACAAACATTCAGACCCTCATAGCAGTGTTCTGGAATCATCTCTGAGGGACAAACAAATCAAGCAGCAGTGTTCTGGAATCCTATCTGAGGGACAAACATGCAGACCACAGCTGGGGTGTTCTGGAATCCTAAGGGTAGGACAAGCATCCAGACCCTCGTCGCATTGTTCTGGAGTCCTATGTGAGGAAAATACATTGAGAGCACGGCAGGAGTGTTTTGAAGTCCTATGTGAGGGATAAATATTCAGACCCTCATAGCGGTGTTCTAGAGTCCTATGTGTGGGACAAACATTTAGACCCACGTAGCAGTGTTTTGGAATCATACGTGAGGCACGGACACTCAGAACCCAACGGCAGTGTTCTGGAATCCTAATTGAGGGACAAACATTCAGACCACAGCAGGCGTATTCTGGAAAGCTATGTGAGGGAGAATAATTCAGACCCTCGTAACAGTGTTCTGGAATCCTATGTGAGGAACAAACATTCATACCCCAATGGTAGTGTTATGGAGTCCTATTTGAGGGACAAACACTCAGACCACATCAGGAATGTTTTGGAATCCTATGTGAGTGAGAAACATTCAGACCACAGCAGGATTGTTCTGGAATCCCATGCGAAGCACAAACACCCAGACCACAGCAGTAGTGTTCTGGAATCATATGTGAGGGTCAACCACTCAGACCACAGCAGTAGGGTTCTGGAATCCTATGGAAGGGATAAACATTCAGAACCTCGTAGCAGTGCTCTGGAATGTTACGTGAGGGACAAACATTCAGACCGCCTTAGCAGTGCTCTGGAATCCTATTTGAGGGAGAAAACTCAGACCACAGCAGGAGTGTTCTGGAGTCCTATGTGAGGGAAAAACATTCAAACCACAGCAGGATTGTTCTGGAATTCCATGTGTGGCGCAAACCCCCACACCACAGCAGGAGTGTTCTGGAATCCTATGTGAGGACAATCATTCAGACCACAGCTGGGATGTTCTGGAATCCTACGTGTGGGGCAAGCATGCAAACCCTCATAGCATTGTTCTGGAATCCTATGTGAGGAAAATACATTCAGAACACCGCTGGAGTGTTCTGGACTCCTTTGTGTGGGACAAACATTCAGACCATTCATAGCAGTGTTCAGAAATCCTATGTGAGGGACAAACTTTCAGACTCTCGTAGCAGTGTTCTGGAATCTTATGTGAGGGAAAAACATTAAGACCCTCTTAGAAGTGTCCTGGAATCCTATGTGAGGGAAAAACACTCAAAACCCAGCAGCAGTGTTGTGGAATCCCATATGAGGGACAAACATTCAGACCGGGGCAGGAGTGTTCTGGAATCCTATGTGAGGTATAATCATTCAGACCGTCAAGGCAGTGTTCTGGAATCCTATGTGAAGGAGAAACAGTCAGAACCCAGCAGCAGTGTTCTGGAATCCTATATGAGGGACAAACATCAGACCCTCATATCAGTGTTCTGGAATCCTAAGTGAAGAACAAACAATCAGAACCCAGCAGCAGTGTTCTGGAATCCTTTGTCAGGGAAAAACATTCAGATCACAGAAGGAGTGTTCTGGAATCCTATGTGAGGGACACACATTCAGAACACAGCATCATTGTTCTGGAATACTATGTGAGGGACAAACTTTCAGACCACTGCAGGAGTGTTCTGGAATCCGATGTGAGGGACAAACTTTCAGACCCCAGAAGAAGTGTTCTGGAATCGTATTTGAAGCACAATCATTTAGACCCACGTAGCAGTGTTCTGGAATCTTACATGAAGGAAAAACACTCAGAACACAACAGCAGTGTTGTGGAATCTTACATGAGGGAAAAACACTCAGAACACAACAGCAGTGTTCTGGTATCCTAGGGGAGGGACACACTTTCAGATCACAGCAGGAGTGTTCTGGAATCCTATGTGAAGGAGAATAATTCAGACCCTGGTAGCAGTGTTCTGGAATCCTATGTGAGGGACAAACTTTCAGACCCGAGTAGCAGTGTTCTGGAATCCTATTTGAGGAACAATCACTCAGATCACAGCAGGAATGTTTTGGAATCCTATGTGAGGGAGACACATTCAGACCACAGCAAGATTGTTCTGGAATCTCACCTGAGGAACAAACACCCAGACCACAGCAGGAGTGTTTTGGAATCCTATGTGAGGATCAGCCATTCAGACCACTGCAGCAGGGTTCTGGAATCTTATGTGAGGGACAAACATTCAGACCCTGTTAGCATTGTTCTGGAATCTTATGTGAGGGACAATAATGCGGACCCTCTTAGCAATGTTCTGGAATCCTATGTGAGGGACAAACATTCAGACCCCCGTAGGAGTGTTCTGGAATCCTATGTGAGAGACAAACACTCGGAATCCAGCAGCAGTGTTCTGGAATCTTATGTGAGGGACAAACATTCAGACTACAACAGGAGTGTTCTGGACTCCTATGTAAGGGACAAACATTCAGACCCCAGCAGCAGTGTTCTGGAATCCTATGTGAGGGACAAATATTTAGACCCAAGTAGCAGTGTTCTGGAATCATACGTGAGGGACAAACACTCAGAACCCCACAGTACTGTTCTGGAATCCTAAGTGAGGGACAAACATTCAGACCACAGCAGGAGTGTTCTGGAATCCTATGTGAGGGACAAACATTCAGACCACAGCGGCAGTGTTCTGGAATCCTATGTGAGGGACAAACAATCAGACCACAGCAGCAGTGTTCTGGAATCTTATGTGAGGGACTCACATTCAGAACCTCGTAGCAGTGTTTTGGAATCCTATGTGAGGGACAAACATTGAGACACTCTTAGCAGTGTTCTGGAATCCTATGTGAGGGACAAACATTCAGACCCAGCAGCAGTGTTCTGGAATCCTATGTGAGGGAGAAACAATCAGACCCTCGTAACAGTGTCCTGAAATCCTAAGGCAGGTACAAACCCTCAGAACCCAGCAGCAGTGTTCTGGAATCCTATGTTAGGGACTCACATTCAGAATTTCCTACCAGTGCTCTGGAATCCTCTGTGAGGGACAGCCTTTCATACTACAGAAGCAGTGTTCTGGAATTGTATTTGAGGAATAAACATTCACAGTACAGCAGGAGTTTTCTGGTATCCTAAGTAAGGGACAAACATTCAGACCCACTTAGCAGTGTTGTGAAATCCTATGTCAAGGACAAACATTCAGACCCCAGCAGCAGTGCTCTGGAATGCCATGTGAGGGACAAACATTCGGACCACAGCAGGAGTGTTCAGGAATCCTATGTGAGGTACAAACATTCAGATTACATCAGGAGTATTCTGGAATCCTATATGAGGGGCAAACATTCAGACCACAGCATCAGCGTTCTGGAATCCAATGTGAGGGACAAACTTTCCGACCACAGCAGGAGTGTTTTGGAGTCCTATGTGAGGGACTGATATTCAGACCCCCGAAGCTCTGTTCTGGAATCCAAAGTGAGGGAGAAACACTCAGAACCCAGCAGCAGTGTTCTATAATCCTAGGTGACAGAGAAACATTTAGACCCTCCTGGCAATGTTCTGGAATCCTATGTGAGAGACACACATTCAGAACACAGCAGGAGTGTTCTTGAATCCTAAATGAGGGACAAACAAGCAGAACTCAGCAGCAGTGTTCTGGAATTCTATGTGAGGGACAAACATAAAGACCACATCAGGAGAGTTCTGGAATCCTATGTGCCCAAAAACATTCAGATCCCAGCAGCAGTGCTCTTCGATCCTATGTGAGGGAAAACATTCAGACCCTCGTAGCAGTGTTCTTAAATGCTATGTGAGGGACAAACATTCAGAACCTCTTAGCAGTGTTCTGGAATCCTATCTGAGGGACAAACATTTAGACCCAAGTAGCTGTGCTCTGGAATCTTACGTTAAGTACAAACACTCAGAAACCAACAGCAGTGTTCTGGAATCCTAAGTGAGGGACAAACTTTCAGACCACAGCACGAGTGTTCTGGAATCCTGAGTGAGAGACAAACATTCGGAACACAGCAGGAGTGTTCTGGAATGCTATGTCAGGGAGAATAATTCAGACCCTCGTAGCAGTGTTCTGGAATCCTATGTGAGGGACAAACATTCAGACTCCAGTAGCAGTGTTTTGGAATCCTATTTGAGGGAGAAACACTCAGACCAGAGAAGAAATGTTTTGGAATCCTATCTGAGGGGGAAACATTCAGAACACAGCAGGATAGATCTGGAAACCCTTGTGAGGCACAAACACCCAGATGACAGGAGGAATGTTCTGGAATCCTATATAAGGGTCAAGTATTCAGACCACAGCAGTAGTGTTCTGGAATCCTATATGAGGGACAAACATTCAGACCCTCGTAGCAGTGTTCTGGAATCCTATGTAAAAGACAAACACTCAGAAACCAGGAGCAGTGTTCTGTAATCCTTTGTGAGGGAGAAACTTTCAGACCACAGAAGGAGTGTTCTGGAATCCTAAGTGAGGGACAAACATTCAGACCAAAGCAGCAGTGTTCTGGACTCCTATGTGAGGGACAAACATTTAGGCCCACGTAGCAGTGTTCTGGAATCCTATGTGAGGGACAAATACTCAGAACCCAGAAGCTGTGTTCTGGAATCCTATCTGAGGGACAAACATTCAGAGCAGAGCAGGAATGTTCTGGAGTCCTATGTGCGGGACAAACTTTCAATCCCTCATAGCAGTGTTCTGGAATCCTATGTGATGGACAAACATTTACAACCATGAGGCAGTGTTCTGGAGTCATACGTGAGGGACAAACACTCAGATCCCAAACTCAGTGTTCTGGAATCCCATCTGAGGGACAAACATTCAGACCAGAGCAGGAGTGTTCCGTAATCCTATGTGAGGTACAATCATTCAGACCCTCGTAGCAGTGTTCTGCAGTCCTATGTGAGGGACAAACACTCAGAACCCAGCAGCATTGTTCTGGAATCTTATATGAGGGACCATCATTCAGACCACAGCTGGCATCTCCTGGAATCCTAAGTGTGGGACAAGCATTCAGATTCTCGTAGCACTGTTCTGGATTCCTAGGTTAGGAAAATACATTCAGAACACAGCAGGAGTGTTCTGGAGTCCTATGTGCGGGACAAACATTGAGACCCTCGTAGCACTGTTGTGGAATCCTATGTAAGGGAGAAACACTCAGAACCCAGCAGCAGTGTTCTGGAATCCTATGTGAGGGACAATCATTCAGACCACAGCTGGAGTGTTCTGGAATCCTACTTGTGGGACAAGCATTCAGACCCTCGTAGCATTGTTCTGTAATCCTATGTTAGGAAATCACATTCAGAACACAGCAGGAGTGTTCTGGAGTCCTACGTGAGGGACAAAGATTCAGACCCTCATAACAGTGTTCTGGAATCTTATGTGAGGTACAAACATTCAGACCCACCTAGCAGTGTTCTGGAATTGTATGTGAGGGACAAACACTCAGAACCCAGCAGCAGTGTTCTGGAATCTTGTCTGACGGACAAACATTCAGACTAGGGGAGGAGTGCTCTAGAACCCTGTGTGAGGCACAATCATTCAGACCACAGCAGGACTGTTCTGGAATCATATGTGAGGGGCAATCATTCAGACCACAGCTGATGTGTTCTGGAATCCTACGTGTGGGACAGGCATTCAGACCCTCGTAGCATTGTTCTGGAATCCTATGTTAAGAAAATACAAATGTAAGGCTGAAAGCTGTAAAACTCCTACACAAAAATATAAGGGAAAAATATGCAACGTTATGCCATTGAATTTGGCAGTGGGTTCTTGACTGCCAGCTGCCCCACATCCCTGGAGCATCCATCTGCTCACCGCTGCCGGGTGCTGGGTCCTTCCACACCTGTCGCGCTACTTTGTGAGGGGCTCTGAGGGGCACCAACCAGGACCCCACGCTGAGCACAGGGCACAGGCCGGGCATTGTCAGGATATTCGCTGGCAGGCTGTCCCCATGCCCGCCTCAGACGCCAGGAGGAAGGGCGGCCTGATCCGAGTCTGCGGAAGGAGGAAGAAGCACGTTTCCTGAGCCAACAGGGACACAGAGGCGAATGCCATAAAATTATATGGCATATATTTTGAAACATGGCCGCAATTTGAATAATTAGAATATCTAAAAACTCCAAAGATTATTATGCTGAAACGGCACCAAAAATTATCATTCCAGTGACTACAGGGAATTTTTAATAGTTGCTATTTTTATAATAAAATTAAACTTTAATGAAATAACTGACTTTCAAACTTCAGCAAGAGGACAAATATTCAGCCAGAGATATCAGTTCCCAGTTTCTGCTCCGGGTCTTCTCTGGTCTTCCACAGCCCCTCCTGCATCACCCAGGGCTAAAGGGCCACCTGGCCTGGCCTGAATCCCCTCGTCCCTCCGCTTCCCCACTCAGCTCCTTTAACCCCCCCTGGGGCAGGGGCAGCAAACTGTCCAGAGCTGGAGGCTCCCTCGACCAGGGCAGCACCGCTCCGCCCCTCTCCGCACCTGCCCAGCCCCTGGCAAAGGACGTGCCTGGGCCTGGCCCACTGCACGTCCCCCAACGCCTGCCCTGTGCCTGCAACGGCGACGCTGCCAACAAGAGGTGCCAGAGGCTGAGGCGCAACCCCCCCAGAGCGCAGGGTTCCCACTCACCTGGGAGTAGGGATAGGCCCCTCCTGGTAGGTTGCACTGTTAAGATTATTTCCTTATTTATTTTACTTAAAACTGGTAGAATGTTACTATTATATGACGTACCCATGATTCTGCCAGTAAATTTGGGCATACGTTTATTAGTTTTTGTTAGATTAACTAGTTCTTTTGTTTCTGTTATTAAGGTGAAATTTAAATTCTATCTGAAATCAGTAAGATACAGAGAGATTTTAATGAGAAGTGAGTATTTTTTTCTAAAGGGGAACTGATATCTCTGGCTGAATATGTGTCTTCTTGCTGAAGTTTGTAAGTCAGTTATTTTATTAAAGTTTAATTTTACTATAAAAATAACAACTATTAAAAATTCCCTGTCATCATTGGAAGGATAAATTTTGGTGCAGTGTCAGTATAACAATATTTCGAATTTTTAAATGTTCTAATTATTCAAATTGTGGTCATGCTTTAAAAATATATGCCATAGAAGTTATGTTATTTTAAAATACCATTCTTTATTATGGGAAGAAGCAGTAAATTCACCTTAACCGTAGCAGACTCTAGAGCTGACTAAAACACCCTTTAGAGGTTAAATTGTAATGAGGTAGACCATCAATGCAAAAAACAGTTTTTTTAGTTGTTCCGCTACCTGTGCAAAACTTATTAGAAGAATGTTCAGAAATTAAAATCTGTGTTTGTTAAGACTTGTTTCTGCTGGGGGTTTTAGAATGTAATAAAAGCTATAAATAAAATTCTAAGCCCCGTATCAACTGAACATACTTCCTCTTGAGCAAGAAGACCCCAGAAAAAAACTTAAAAACTGAATTTCTGGCTATGACAGCAAGAGAGGTGTTATGTACAGGAGATGCTCCAGGGAAGAAGAAAACACACACACACAATACCTTTAAAGGTCAACAAACTCGATCCCACATAAATGGCAATGCAGATATAATAAGCAAATGATAGAATAAGCAAATTGATACAATAAGCAAATTGCAGTGGGAAGGGGAGAAGGAAAAAAATGTGTGTGTATATATATATATGAGGATAGACTATGGAGGATTCATCACCAGACCGAGAAGCAACAGCCTGGGCTCCAGAGTCAGCCACTCATCCATGCACAAAGGAACACAAAAAGGTCAATTTGCTTTTGCCGTTGTCTGTTGTTTTTCAATAACTAAAGTATAGGAATAGATTGAAATAGAGATTTCTCTGAAACAGTGCTGGATGAATGCCTCAAGGGGCTCACAAAACCTATTCCGAGACTTGGTGACCATTATTTGTGTCCATGTTCAATTGAGTTTAAATATATTATTTAACTTTTTCTGCGTATTCTGTCCCAATTGATACTCAAATGTAAGAAAATACGCTTACAGATATACGAGGAATACATAATTGGTAGAGGTTACAGAAGCAGGGTAAGCAGAGGAGAATTAAAACACAGTTAATAAAAACCGCACCCACCAAGGCCAACGCCAATGCCAGTTGGACAGCCAATTCATGATGGGGTCCTGACAGTTAGATTTTGTTTTGCTTGTCCTTGCATGTCTTGGGCGAGGAGAGTAATATTGTGAGAACTGTCAGGGATACACACACAAAATTCAGTATGCAGCAAGGCTGAAACGCTCTTTGGGCTGCGGTAAGCATACCTAATGCCATTTGATTTTGCAACACAACAGTACACAACTGAGCAAATTCCTCTGATAACAACATAAGTCCAGTGCTACTACCATTAAGAGCTTTTTCTACATGTAAGCTTAATATTTAAATTTTTTGCTGAAACAGAATTGTATCAGTGGCAGAGGAGAACACTGTTATAGGGTACACCCCATCAGGGATTCTGGCGCATTTGTAACCAGTGATGTTTGGAAGCATCTAGATTTAGGAAAGAGGTTGTGTTTCATTGGGGACAATGCTGTTGATTTGGAGTATGTGTTGACAATTGTCTGGTGGGAGAAACCCCAGAGTAACATTAAAAGAGCCATTTAAGGCCTCCAGACAAAGCGGGGGTGCGGTGCCATATGGAGTTCAGCTACCGGTATGGTAGGTTCCCTGTATATGTCTTTCCAAGTATATTGGGTAGGATACAAAGGCCTTTGATGCATTGCAAAAGTGGATTTCTCCTTTTGTCAGACTTGGGCAAAAATAGACTCTTTGATTTGGTTAAAAGAAGTCCAGGTGGGATTACAGGTGCTATTCTCCTGACCCCCTTGGTAGTGATGTAACCACTTGGAAATGTTGGCAGAGACAATTTTTTAAGGGAGCCCATTCCCTGCAGCCTGTGGCAATTCGACTAAAAGGCAGCTCTAACTGCAGTTGACTTCTTTTGCAGCGGTGGCTACCCAGTTGCTAAATGCATTCTTGGCCTCAGACACAAAGAAGCAGGTGCTGACCATCATTCGATAGGCTATTCCTTTTAATAACAAAAACAGAGGGGAACATAACATTGTTTTTAAAATTTTACTACTCCCCTCATTTTCTGCCCCCATACTGTGGCCCCAGGATTTAAGCTGCCCACTTTGGTGGACCCATATCCTCCAGTTCTATATGATGTTCCTATTGGGGCAGAAATTTCCTCGGGGGTTAATTGGTGACACGGTACTACCAGTAGCTGAGCAATCTGCATCTGCGGCTTTATGGCAAAAGAATTTTCGGTGGTATTGTGTTAAAAGATTTTTAACTCTCACCGGTAATCACTATCAATTACACCACCATACACTATAATGCCTCTCATTCCAATGCTTGCACGTGTTGTAATCCGTTCATCCACATTTGAGTTTGCAGTTATGGTGGAAATTTTGGCCTGTTGACCTGCCTGCTGATTAATTAGTCTGCCAAGAGAAAGCAGAGATGCATGAGCATCAACATAACAGTGTTAATGGTAGGGTGCACAGGGATTCAGATATCTTCCCTGTATTCTTTCCCCAAACCTTTTTATTCCCAATTAACCATTTGCCTCATTGCCATTGAGGCATCTAGATAGTAAGACCATTTGCTACTGACCAAGAGTTGGTATACAAGTGTCAAATCCCTCTGGCCTTCTTCTGAATAGCTGGGAAGATGGCTACTAGCTCAGCCAGCTGGCTGCTCCCATCCCTTCCTTCATCAGAAATACTTATGTTTTTAACAGGATTATAAGCCACGGCCTCCCCGCATCGGGTCCCACCAATGTATTTGGCAGATCCATCAGTAAACCAAGCATGTTTCTGATGCTTTGGATGAGGCAGGTCTCTTTCCCTGCCTGCAGGACTTGTTCGGTGGCTTTCTGAGTTGGCAAATTTTTTAAAAATGATACCCCCTTTGGTCCTGGCTTTGCCCTATCTTGTATATACCATTCCATTATGTGATGCTACTTTCTTCAGCATGCCCTATTCGATGGGTTTTGGTGGACCTCATGACCCAAGTCATAATAGGAATTTCAGGCCTTATGAAGACATCATGGTTGAAGCAGAGAGTCTCCATTTCCAGCAAAGCCCGATAGCAAGCTAACAGTCGCTTCTCAAAAGGATTATAAGCTTCGCCAGCCTCTGGCAGCTTCCAGGTTTGAAACCCCAAGAGTCCCCTCTTCCCATCTTGTTTCTGCCAAAGGCTCCAATTAGCATGTTAATCCAGGACAGTTATTTGCAATTCTACTGTCCCATCCCATATGGGCCATCCAGGGCCAGATGCACTGCTTGCTTAGCTTGCTCAAAGGCTGTGTTCTCTTTCTACCTCCAGTGAAAGTCATTATATTTTCTAGTGACTGCATACAGAGGTTGTGAGATGTTACCCAAACCGGGAAGATGTCTCCAGAATTCAAACAAGCCAATACATTTCTGGGCCTCCTTTTTAGTGGTAGGGGTTGCAAATTCTAGTATTTTAACCATAGCCTTTGGTAAAATGGACTTTTTCCTTGCGTTCCATGGGATGCAAAGCAATTTTATAGTTTGTGCAGGTTCTTGAAATTTGTAAAGGCTAATTTCCCATTCTTCAGATAGGAACTGGGTTTTTACCCACACCAAGCCCCAGCTGACTCGTTCTTCAGTTTTACCCTGACCACACCACTTGCACAGCTGTTTTTCTCATCAATAATCTGTTAGCTTTGAGCCTGATCAGTCAAGACATAGGCCTGAAATTGAGCCAGGGCCAGTCTGGAAGTCAGAGTAGTGTTTTCTTTTTCCAGCTTACATTTATCTTGTAGCAATTGATTTCTATCTCAACACATTAACTTATAAGCAGTAAGCAAGCACCATCTATGCTAAGAGATCCCCCTGGCATCTCCTTTGCTGACTGAAATCCCCTGCAGCACTTCATGCACAGTCAAAGGTTCAAATTCCACTAATTTAGATACCCAATTTTCACTAAGGTCAGTTCCCCCCGACCATTCAATTGCCAAGAGGGAGAACTGGAGGAGTTTCTATCCTGGAATATGGGAAGTCCCTGAGCTTCCAGCGGTGATCTTGAAGCTGAAAAGTGAATCCTCCATAGTCTGGTGGGTGTAGTAGCCAACTCTGGAGCCTAGGCTGTTGCTTCCCCATCTGGCCATGAATGCTGTATAGTCTGGTGAGTACATATACATAGATATAGATATAGATAGATAGATACATACATACATATATATAGATAGATAAAAATATAGATATAGATATAGATATCTGCAATACCATTTACATGGGATAAAAAAGTTGTTTACCCTTAAAGGTATTGTGTGTGTGTCTTTTCTTCTCCCATCAGCATCTCCCACACAGAACAGGAGGAGACAGACAGGCCTTGTTACACACCTGTTTGCTGTTGTACCTCTGTTTGCTCTTTAGGTACAACAAATCATCAGCACTAATGTTAAAATAGAGATCATAAGACTGACAAAACTGACTCTGTGGCAATATAATACCAAATTATTGTCACAATTTAAGGCAGTGCAAGGCAAGTGTTAAGCCATGCATGCAGGTCAGCAATCTTGCTACATAGCATCCCTATCTCCACTTAAGAGTTAAAACTTTTATATCAGCTGACTCCAAGTTTTAGATAGAACATTACCCCTTTAACAGTGAAGCAAGAGAGAGGAGCCAAGATGGCCGAATAGGAACAGCTCCGGTCTACAGCTCCCAGCCTGAGGGAAGCAGAAGATGGGTGATTTCTGCATTTCCATCTGAGGTACCCGGTTCATCTCACTAGGGAGTGCCAGACAGTGGGCCCAGGCCAGTGGGTGCGCGCACCGTGCGCGAGCCGAAGCAGGGCGAGGCATTGCCTCACTTGGGAAGTGCAAGGAGTCAGGGAGTTCCCTTTCCAAGTCAAAGAAAGGGGTGACGGACGCACCTGGAAAATCGGGTCACTCCCACCCGAATATTGCGCTTTTCACACCGGCTTAAAAAACGGTGCACCACGAGATTATATCCCGCACCTGGCTCGGAGGGTCCTACGCCCACGGAATCTCACTGATTGCTAGCACAGCAGTCTGAGATCAAACTGCAAGGCGGCAGCGAGGCTGGGAGAGGGGCGCCCGCCATTGCCCAGGCTTGCTTAGGTAAACAAAGCAGCCGGGAAGCTCGAACTGGGTGGAGCCCACCACAGCTCAAGGAGGCCTGCCTGCCTCTGTAGGCTCCACCTCTGGGGGCAGGGCACAGACAAACAAAAAGACAGCAGTAACCTCTGCAGACTTAAATGTCCCTGTCTGACAGCTTTGAAGAGAGCAGTGGTTCTCCCAGCACGCAGCTGGAGATCTGAGAACCAGCAGACTGCCTCCTCAAGTGGGTCCCTGACCCCTGACCCCCGAGCAGCCTAACTGGGAGGCACCCCCCAGCAGGGGCACACTGACACCTCACACAGCAGGGTATTCCAACAGACCTGCAGCTGAGGGTCCTGTCTGTTAGAAGGAAAACTAACAAAGAGAAAGGACATCAACACCGAAAACCCATCTGTACATCACCATCATCAAAGACCAAAAGTAGATAAAACCACAAAGATGGGGAAAAAACAGAACAGAAAAACTGGAAACTCTACAACGCAGAGCGCCTCTCCTCCTCCAAAGGAACGCAGTTCCTCACCAGCAACGGAACAAAGCTGGATGGAGAATGACTTTGACGAGCTGAGAGAAGGCTTCACACGATCAAATTCCTCTGAGCTATGGGAGGACATTCAAACCAAAGGCAAAGAAGTTGAAAACTTTGAAAAAAATTTAGAAGAATGTATAACTAGAATAACCAATACAGAGAAGTGCTTAAAGGAGCTGATGGAGCTGAAAACTAAGGCTCGAGAACTACGTGAAGAATGCAGAAGACTCAGGAGCCGATGCAATCAAATGGAAGAAAGGGTATCAGCAATGGAAGATGAAATGAATGAAATGAAGCGAGAAGGGAAGTTTAGAGAAAAAAGAATAAAAAGAAATGAACAAAGCCTCCAAGAAATATGGGACTATGTGAAAAGGCCAAATCTACGTCTGATTGGTGTACCTGAAAGT
The DNA here is from genome assembly GCF_000001405.40 of Homo sapiens. NCBI lineage: Eukaryota > Metazoa > Chordata > Mammalia > Primates > Hominidae > Homo > Homo sapiens. The sequence continues at coordinate 45,978 of NT_113930.2, forward strand.
GATGGGGAGAATGGAACCAAGTTGGAAAACACTCTGCAGGATATTATTCAGGAGAACTTCCACAATCTAGCAGGGCAGGCCAACGTTCAGATTCAGGAAATACAGAGAACGCCACAAAGATACTCCTCGAGAAGAGCAACTCCAAGACACATAATTGTCAGATTCACCAAAGTTGAAATGAAGGAAAAAATGTTAAGGGCAGCCAGAGAGAAAGGTCGGGTTACCCTCAAAGGGAAGCCCATCAGACTAATAGCGGATCTCTCGGCAGAAACCCTACAAGCCAGAAGAGAGTGGGGGCCAATATTCAACATTCTTAAAGAAAAGAATTTTCAACCCAGAATTTCATATCCAGCCAAACTAAGCTTCATAAGTGGAGAAATAAAATACTTCACAGACAAGCAAATGCTGAGAGATTTTGTCACCACCAGGCCTACCCTAAAAGAGCTCCTGAAGGAAGCACTAAACATGGAAAGGAACAACCAGTACCAGCCGCTGCAAAATCATGCCAAAATGTAAAGACCATCGAGAATAGGAAGAAACTGCATCAACTAACGAGCAAAATAACCAGCTAACATCATAATGACAGGATCAAATTCACACATAACAGTATTAACTTTAAATGTAAATGGACCAAATTCTCCAATTAAAAGACACAGACTGGCAAATTGGATAAAGAGTCAAGACCCATCAGTGTGCTGTATTCAGGAAACCCATCTCACGTGCAGAGACCCACATAGGCTCAAAATAAAGGGATGGAGGAAGATCTACGAAGCAAATGGAAAACAAAAAAAGGCAGGGGTTGCAATCCTCGTCTCTGATAAAACAAACTTTAAACCAACAAAGATCAAAAGAGACAAAGAAGGCCACTACATAATGGTAAAGGGATCAATGCAACAAGAAGAGCTAACTATCCTAAATATATATGCACCCAATACAGGAGCACCAAGATTCATAAAGCAAGTCCTGAGTGACCTACAAAGAGACTTAGACTCCCACACATTAATAATGGGAGACTTTAACACCCCACTGTCAACATTAGACAGATCAACGAGACAGAAAGTCAACAAAGATACCCAGGAATTGAACTCAGCTCTGCACCAAGTGGACCTAATAGACATCTACAGAACTCTCCACCCCAAATCAACAGAATATACATTTTTTTCAGCACCACACCACACCTATTCCAAAATTGACCACATAGTTGGAAGTAAAGCTCTCCTCAGCAAATGTAAAATAACAGAAATTGTAACAAACTATCTCTCAGACCACAGTGCAATTCAACTAGAACTCAGGATTAAGAATCTCACTCAAAACCGCTCAACTACATGGAAACTGAACAACCTGCTCCTGAATGACTACTGGGTACATAACGAAATGAAGGCAGAAATAAAGATGTTCTTTGAAACCAATGAGAACAAAGACACAACATACCAGAATCTCTGGGACGCATTCAAAGCAGTGTGTAGAGGGAAATTTATAGCACTAAATGCCCACAAGAGAAAGCAGGAAAGATCCAAAATTGACACCCTAACATCACAATTAAAAGAACTAGAAAAGCAAGAGCAAACACATTCAAAAGCTAGCAGAAGGCAAGAAATAACTAAAATCAGAGCAGAACTGAAGGAAATAGAGACACAAAAAACCCTTCAAAAAATCAATGAATCCAGGAGCTGGTTTTTTGAAAGGATCAACAAAATTGATAGACTGCTAGCAAGACTAATAAAGAAAAAAAGAGGGAAGAATCAAATAGACGCAATAAAAAATGATAAAGGCGATATCACCACCGATCCCACAGAAATACAAACTACCATCAGAGAATACTACAAACACCTCTACGCAAATAAACTAGAAAATCTAGAAGAAATGGATAAATTCCTCGACACATACACTCTCCTAAGACTAAACCAGGAAGAAGTTGAATCTCTGAATAGACCAATAACAGGATCTGAAATTGTGGCAATAATCAATAGTTTACCAACCAAAAAGAGTCCAGAACCAGATGGATTCACAGCTGAATTCTACCAGAGGTACAAGGAGGGACTAGTACCATTCCTTCTGAAACTATTCCAAACAATAGAAAAAGAGGGAATCCTCCCTAACTCATTTTGTGAGGCCAGCATCATTCTGATACCAAAGCTGGGCAGAGACACAACCAAAAAAGAGAATTATAGACCAATATCCTTGATGAACATTGATGCAAAAACCCTCAATAAAATACTGGCAAACCGAATCCAGCAGCACATCAAAAAGCTTATCCACCATGATCAAGTGGGCTTCATCCCTGGCATGCAAGGCTGGTTCAATATATGCAAATCAATAAATGTAATCCAGCATATAAACAGAGCCAAAGACAAAAACCACATGATTATCTCAATAGATGCAGAAAAAACCTTTGACAAAATTCAACAACCCTTCATGCTAAAAACTCTCAACAAATTAGGTATTGATGGGACGTATTTCAAAATAATAAGAGCTATCTATGACAAACCCACAGCCAATATCATACTGAATGGGCAAAAACTGGAAGCATTCCCTTTGAAAACTGGCACAAGACAGGGATGCCTTCTCTCACCACTCCTATTCAACACAGTGTTGGAAATTCTGGCCAGGGCAATTAGGCAGGAGAAGGAAATAAAGGGTATTCAATTAGGAAAATAGGAAGTCAAATTGTCCCTGTTTGCAGATGACATGATTGTATATCTAGAAAACCCCATTGTCTCAGCACAAAATCTCCTTAAGCTGATAAGCAACTTCAGCAAAGTCTCACGATACAAAATCAATGTACAAAAATCACAAGCATTCTTATACACCAACAACAGACAAACAGAGAGCCAAATCATGAGTGAACTCCCATTCACAATTGCTTCAAAGAGAATAAAATACCTAAGAATCCAACTTACAAGGGATGTGAAGGACCTCTTCAAGGAGAACTACAAACCACTGCTCAAGGAAATAAAAGAGGATACAAACAAATGGAAGAACATTCCATGCTCATGGGTAGGAAGAATCAATATCGTGAAAATGGCCATACTGCCCAAGGTAATTTACAGATTCAATGCCATCCCCATCAAGCTACCAAGGACTTTCTTCACAGAATTGGAAAAAACTACTTGAAAGTTCATATGGAACCAAAAAAGAGCCTGCATCGCCAAGTCAATCCTAAGCCAAAAGAACAAAGCTGGAGGCATCACACTATCTGACTTCAAACTATACTACAAGGTTACAGTAACCAAAACAGCATGGTACTGGTACCAAAACAGAGATATAGATCAATGGAACAGAACAGAGCCCTCAGAAATAATGCCGCATATCTACAACTATCTGATCTTTGACAAACCTGACAAAAACAAGCAATGGGGAAAGGATTCCCTATTTAATAAATGGTGCTGGGAAAACTGGCTAGCCATATGTAGAAAGCTGAAACTGGATCCCTTCCTTACACCTTATACAAAAATCAATTCAAGATGGATTAAAGAGTTAGACATTAGACCTAAAACCATAAAAACCCTAGAAGAAAACCTAGGCATTACCATTCAGGACATAGACATGGGCAAGGACTTCATGTCCAAAACACCAAAAGCAATGACAACAAAAGACAAAATTGACAAATGGGATCTAATTAAACTAAAGAGCTTCTGCACAGCAAAAGAAACTACCATCAGAGTGAACAGGCAACCTACAAAATGGGAGAAAATTTTCACAACCTACTCATCTGACAAAGGGCTAATATCCAGAATCTACAATGAACTCAAACAAATTTACAAGAAAAAACAAACAACCCCATCAAAAAGTGGGCAAAGGACATGAACAGACACTTCTCAAAAGAAGACATTTATGCAGCCAAAAAACACATGAAAAAATGCTCATCATCGCTGGCCATCAGAGAAATGCAAATCAAAACCACAATGAGATACCATCTCACATCAGTTACAATGGCAATCATTAAAAAGTCAGGAAACAACAGGTGCTGGAGAGGATGTGGAGAAATAGGAACACTTTTATACTGTTGGTGGGACTGTAAACTAGTTCAACCATTGTGGAAGTCAGTGTGGCGATTCCTCAGGGATCTAGAACTAGAAATACCATTTGACCCAGCCATCCCATTACTGGGCATATACCCAAAGGACTATAAATCATGCTGCTATAAAGACACATGCACACGTATGTTTATTGTGGCATTATTCACAATAGCAAAGACTTGGAACCAACCCAAATGTCCAACAATGATAGACTGGATTAAGAAAACGTGGCACATATACACCATGGAATACTATGCAGCCATAAAAAATGATGAGTTCATGTCCTTTGTAGGGACATGGATGAAATTGGAAATCATCATTCTCAGTAAACTACCGCAAGAACAAAAAACCAAACACTGCATATTCTCACTCATAGGTGGGAATTGAACAATGAGATCCCATGGACACAGGAAGGGGAATATCACACTCTGGGGACTGTTGTGGGGTGGGGGGAGGGGGGAGGGATAGCATTGGGAAATACAACTAATGCTAGACGACGAGTTAGTGAGTGCAGCACACCAGCATGGCACATGTATACATATGTAACTAACCTGCACAATGTGCACATGTACCCTAAAACTTAAAGTATAATTTAAAAAAATAAAAAAAATAAAAAAATAAAAAATAAAACAACTGCCCATTTTACCATCTCTTCAGTCCTTGACAAGCACCATTCTAACTTTTTTTTCCTATGAGTTTATCTACTTAAGATACCTGATTATGAATGGAATCATAGACTGTCACTTTGTTCCTGGCTTATTTCAATTAACATGATCTTCTCCAGAATTATCATATAATGTGTCTTTTTAAAGACTGAATAATATTCGACTTTGTGTATGTGCCACTTGTTATTAATCTGTTCATTGGTCAAGGGACATCTGGATTGTTTCTGCCTTTTGGCTTGTGTTAATAATATTGCAATAAATTTGGTTGTGCAAATATCTCTTCCAGATCTGCGTTGTACATTTTAAGTACATAGCCAGAAGGGGGTTTGCTGGATTATATAATAATCTCATTTTAAATTTTTTGAAGAGCTGTCATACTATTTTAAATATCGGCTTGAGGCCGTAGATTATTGTGACTTTGCTTTGCATTTTTCTAGAAGAGTGATGTCGAGTATCCTTTTATTTTTTATTTTTTTAATTTCATAAACATTTATTCACAGCCCCTTTAAAAGTATAGCAGTGAAGTAAAACCCCAATTAAACTACTGCCCATTAACTTGTTACTTAAAATTTAGACTTAAAAACCAATAGACTTTTTTTTTAGTTTGTATGCAATTACTTTTATAAACACAGTTTAGGTTGGAATAAGGAAGTCCTAATTCATCATGTTGGAGCTTGCCCTCACTGCTGCAGGCTGTTGAAGTGAGCCTCCTTCAAGGTCTGGTTGATATGGGAGTAAAGACCTTGGCATGGTACATACCCCTCATGCAAGAACTGGGGAAAGTTTGCATTGGGTTCAGTAACAATCTGGTTTAAGTTGCTTTCTGGTCCACCTGCTCTCTCTGGGATATTAAGGCGGCTGCTGCTCCTTTCATTATCACTCCATGAAAACTGTGTCTTGAGAATCCTGAAAGATAGGGTTTCTCTTATTCCTTTTGGGCTGGGTGGAATGATGGTTGCCCTCTTTACTGCCATTTCTTCTTATTTTCCGTACAGGGCAGCCTCCCATAGTCCTGCCCTCGGACGAGTATCCTTTTAAATACCTAGTCATTTCTATGTCTTCTTTGGAGAAAGGTCATTTCAAACATTTACCATTCTAAATCAAGTTATTAACATTTTGTTGTTGTTGAATTTTAGAAGTTTATATCTTTTGGAAATTAACACCTACGAAATATGTGATTAGAAAATATTTTTACACTTTTTTGTTATATGTATGTATGTATGCACATATATTACCCTATACAAGACAGGGTCTTGATATATTTTCATGGCTAGTCTCAAACTTTTGGCCTCAAATGATCGTTCTGACTTGGCCTCCTAAATTTCTAGAATTATAGGCATGAGCCAGCATGCCCAGGTTTCACCCACTTATTAGGTGACATTTGTATGCCACTAAATTTTTCCTTGATGTGTAGAATACTTGAAGGTTAATGTAGTTCCTTTCTTTTTTGTTCTTTTCCTTGTTTCTTATGAATTTGATGTCATACTTAAGCAAAGTTTTAAGACTTATGTCATAAACTTTTCCCCTATGTTTACTTCTAAGAATTTTATTAGTTTTTATGTTTAAGCATTAAATCCATTATAAAACAACTTTTCTTTTTATGTATAATACAAAAGAAGCATCCAACTTTATTTTTGCTCTGTAAACATTCAATTTTGAAAATTCTTTGTTAAAGAGATTCTTATTTTTCTATTGCATGGTCATGGAAAGCATATGGAAGATTATTTTATCACGTATGCGAGGGTTTATTTCCAGGATGTCTATTCTGTTTCATCATCTATGTATCCGTTTTTGTGGCAATACCATATTGTTTTTATTTTTGTAGCTTTGTATCATGATTTTAAATCAGAAAATGTAATAACTCTTTGTCCTTTTTAAAGGGTGTTTGCCTAGTCACAGTTCCTAAACAACTTTTAGAATTATACACAAAAATTCTGCAAAAAAAATACCATTGGGATTTAGATGAAAATTACATTACATTTTTATATCATCATGGGTAATACTGACAACTTTTTTTTTTTCCTTTGGAGATGGAGTTTTAGTGAGTCACTCAGGCTGAAGGGCAGTGGTGTGAGCTGTGCTCACTGCAAGCTCTGCTTCCCATGTTCAAGCAATTCTCCAGTCTCAGCCACCAGAGTAGCTGGGATTACAGTCATGCACCAACATGTATAGCTAACTTTTGTATTTTTAGTAGAGATAGGGTTTTGCCATGTTGGCCAGGCTAGTCTCAAACTTCTGATCTCAAGTGATCCACACACTTTGGCCTCCCAAAGTCCTGGGATTACAGGCATGAGTCACGTGCCGGCCCTGACATCTTAACAATATTAAATCACCTGACACTTGAGCAAGACTATATGTAAGATCTTGCTTAATTTCCTCTTATTTACGTATCTGAAACATTTTCTTGCTTTTGATTTCTAGTTTCATTTACATTGCATGACTTCAGTTTTCTTAAATTTAATAAGACATGTATCCTAACAGAATGTGCCATGTGTGATTGAGAATATTGCATATTTTGCTGCTTTCGATCGCAGAGTTCTGTAAATGCTTGTTAGGTCTATAATGTTCAGGTTTGGCTTTCTTACTGATATTACATCTGACTATTCTAGTCATTATTGAAAGTGGAGTCTTGGAGTCCGCAATTGTTGTGTTGCTATATATTTCTTGCTTGACTTCTGTCAATATTGGTTTTACATATTTGAAAGACGAGAATCAGTTGAACCTGGGAGGTGGAGGTTGAAGTGAGCCAATCGCGAGATCGTGCCATTGTCCTCCAGCCTGGGAGACAGAAACTCTATCTCCAAAAAAAAAAATAAGAAAGATATCAGTGTTATTTATAGTAATATAAAAATTTAATGTAATTTTTATCAAAATCCCAATGGTATATTTTTGCAGATTTTTCAAATTATATATATGATTTCTAAATTATTGTTATGGATTTCTTGCAAGTTAATCCATGTCACCGTTACTTAATAACAATCTGTCTCTTTTTAAAATTTTTAACTTAAAATATATTTTGTTTAATATAATTATGACCATGCCCCTCCAATTGTAGCTACTCTTTGCATAAAATATATTTTCTTTATACTGCTACTTTCAACTTATTTGGGTCCTTAGAGCTAAAATGACTCTTGTAGAGAGTACATTGCTGGATCTTCTTTGTTCTTAATCCATTAAATCATTTTCTGCATTTTGTTTAAGGTATTTAACTTTTTGTATTTGAAGTAATTACTGTAGTTAATGAAGTTACTATTATTATTTGGAATTGTCTTCTGTGTTTCTTGTAGATGTGTTATTTATCATTTTTTTCTCTTACTGCTTTATTTTTCTTCATTGATTTTGTAGTGACATGATTCAGTTTCTTTCTCATTTGCTTCTGCATACCATCTACAGGTTTTTTTGTAATCATCTTGAGAAATAAAGACTTCATAAAACATCTTAAAGTTATGACAATATATAATGACTATATTTCAATGGAATGCAAAGCTTTACCTCTTTATACCCCCACTTTGTTATTAATATCACTTGTTATCTTTTCTTATTGAGTATCTATGAACCCATATTTATGCAGCTTTCTGCTTCATTTTTTAAATTCCATAGCAATAACGTGAAAGTTTTGTGCACCATCATTATGACAGTAGAGGTTTCTATAGCTGTTTATGTATTTACATTTAATAGAGAGCTTTCTATTTTCATATGCTTTTATGACGCTGTGCAGCATATATTGTCATTTTTGGACGTGATAGACTTTCTTTTACATTTCCTTTAGCAGTGTTCCAGTGGTCAGTAACACACTCAACTTTTATTTGTTTTGGAAATGCTTAACTTTTTTTTCTGAAGTGAAATTATTCCAGTTGAAGGTTTTTGTTTAGCATGATTTCTTCTTGTTTAATTACCTTGTCATCTAGGGAGTTCTCAGCTACTTTTTAAAAATATCCTCTTTATTATTTTTCTCCTATACTGTTTTTCTAAGACTCCTTTTATAAATACAGTGGTCCACTTGGTGGTGTGCTGTAAGTAAGTCCCAATTTTCATTTTTTCTCTATTCTGTTTAAAAAATTTGTTTTCATGAATCAGTATTTATAAGTGCAATGTTATCAACTGTCTAATTTTTTCTGCTTTATTAAATCCACTTTTGTGACTGCTGATTAAATTTTTAATATAGTTACTGTGTTCTTCAGAGTCACAATTTTTCTTGGTTTTTAAAAATCTTTTTATTGATATCTCGTTTTCTTCATGCATCACTTCTAATATTCTTTTGTTGTCTATGTTCTGTTTTTGTTCATTAAGCACTTTTTTCTAATTACATTTTAATGTAATTAGAATGTCCACCTTTACAATACACAAATACAGTAACGGTAACTCGCACTAAAACAAAGCATACTTCTGATAGCCATTATTTTTCTCTTTGGGACAAATTTAAAGTTTTTCTTTTGTCACAAAAACAGGAATGTACTTATACAAAGGCTCAAAATAGGCCATCTTTTTAAACAAAAAGGCAATGATTCACAAAAGACTATGAATAGAACATGTAACTAATTGATACAAATCTAATAGGATTTGTTAAAATCAGCCACATCCAATACATCTGAAGTGTACTTGTATAAAATATCACGTGAAGAAAAGAAGACTTTATCAATATCTTAAAAAGTGGGTTTGTTCATAGTCTGACAAGTTACCATTAAAAGTGTTTCCTGTGACATAAGGAAATGCAATATTATTTTTCTTGAACCCTTTCAGCGCAAGACTTTCCACTCAATAAAATCGCAGAGGATCTGAAACTGAGAAAATATACTTGATTACTAACAACTTGTGAAACTTAATACTTTTTTTTTTTTTTTTGCATCATCAGCGGCTTTTACTGAACTTACAACCAACTTGCCGCTCAATATGCAGCTCAGATGTGAGAGACGCGTCTCTGTACAGGAGCCGGTACTGTCTTCAATCCTTTGCATGCAGGTGTTTACCACAGGCAAACAGTTTACTCCACATTTTCTAGTAATGTAATCTTCCTATTAGCAAAAAGCGGTAACCAGTCCCTGTAGACTGAAGGGACTCCAGTCACAGGATGCGGATTTCCTCTTCATGGTTTTTATTTTCATATTTGAACTGCTGATGCAACATATAAGCAGGGTGTTCAGGACCTGCTGTGCCTAAGGGACTGATAAAGGGAAAAGTTCTATTTATTCTTTGTGATTTGATGCACAGATGAAAAACTTAACACACAATAATAGAAGTTGGGCGTTAATAAATCACACCCTAGTCTTTCAGAGCTTCCGTAAGCAGACGACATTGTCAGTTTTCTAGCTCTTGTTTTAACACTGCAACAACAATGATGCATATGTCCGGAATCAGCTAAAAAGGCCGTCAGATTCTTTTTCTCTTAGATTATCTATTTTTCACTGTTCCCAAGTATATCTGAATAATTACCTTCCGGCATTCTCTGCTATTGCTCGTTGGGATGCTCTCGACTGTCCCCGTGTTTTGTGGGCTGTTGGGAGAGGGCCCTTGGGAAGGATGTACCACTGTTGGGAGGTTGTCAGTCACTGGGATGTCTCCAGGGATGATGTCTTCCCTGGCTGCAGAAGTCCTCCTGGAGCCACGCCCACCATGCCTGGCAGATATCTGTAGGTAGCACCACTGAGCTCAGGATGAATTTCTTGCTGGTTTATTACGGACCAAAGCGCTGATGTGACAAAGAATTCCTTGTTCACACAGTTTCTTAAGCTTCCCGGGATGCGACTTATGATGGCTTGGCGGATCTCAGTGGCAACTGCCTCGCTCATCTCCAGTGACACCTGCTGGCTGTAGCAGGCAGTGAGAGGAGTGCAGATGAGATTCCAGGCATCTTTCAACAGACCCCGAGCAAAACTAAAGGGCTCCGACTCATTCACGTCGAGGGCTGCCCCTCGTATTCTGCCCTCCTTGAGGATGTGTGCTCAGGCTTTCTCGTCCACCAGGCCACCACGGGCTGCGTTCACAAGGAATGCTCCCTGCCTCATCTGCTTTATAGTAAAGTCATGGATAAGGTGGTAGTTTTGTTCGTTGAGATTGCAATGCAAGAAGACGCAGTCGTTCTGATACAGCAAATCCTGCTGGGTGTAGACCCTATGCACACCCAGGGACCGCTCGATCCCATCCTGCAAAGGCCTTGGCTCGAACTGCAACCTCCTGCTGCGTGCGACCGAAGCCGATGAGGCCCAATATCTCCCCACGAATGCGAGCCTTTACTGAGGCCACCTCGCCAATCTGCTCCACGCTCTGAACTCGCGTGCCTTCCCTCAGTGCCTGGTACAGCGACCTGTTCCCCCAGTACAGATTGAGGATGTGGCCGGTGGTGGAGTCGGCTGTCTCTTCCACGGCTGCGGACGGGATGCTGCACACAGCAATTTCGAGCTCGCCAGCAGCCTTGATGGCCACGTTGTCGTAGCCACTGCCCACCTGCACGATCACTCTCAGGGCCTTGAAATTTTCCAGGTCTTCCCTGGTGAGGGAGAAGGTGTGGTACATCATGGCGCCCACGACTTCGTTTAGAACTTTCTCGTGGATCTCCTGCATGGACTGAGCCTCACAGAAGGCCAGGTGGCCAGGTCCTTCAGGATGGGCATGTCCACAGTGCAGTCCCGTCCATCCAGCAGAGCCACCACGAGGCGGGGTTCAGGGTGACTTTCATGATCTGGGGGCGAATTCCTCACAAATTCTGTCCAATCACTGTCTCTTGACTTAGCGCTTATCCACAAGGGCCATTCTTTAGGGAAATTTGCAACTCTCAGATCAAAAGGCAAAGCAGTCCTCTAAGAACTTAGGGGAACTCGCAGGAGTCTGCGTGCATGACGCCACTATGAACCCAATATAAATTTGTTCACAAACTCTATAGTTCACACGATGGGTTGTCCGTCTTTTTAAGGGAATACAGCTTCTTTGGTTCAAAACCATTTAAGGTGATGAAACCCGTTTGCTTGCAACTCCGCCACAATCGCGCAGCCACCAACGAATCTCACCACGACCCCAGGCCGAAGCCGCCTCCATTCCCAGGGATGGCGGACTCCGGGCGCTCTAGACCTGGGGTCGTGGTGAGATTCTCCCTTGGATGCCCCTGTTCTACAGTAAAGGAAATATCTTTGGAATGTAAAAAGAGAGAAAATAATAGGCATCACCCCAATAGGCAATAATGAACAAATAACAAAGATGAGAGGTGCAAAGGCCAAGGAGGAAACTTTAAAAATGTGATGTGGGAAGTTCGCTTCAATGAAATTGGTTCTGGAAGATCCTAGATTTACTTCTTTTGCTGCCACAGATGGACATTTCCTACCCTATGCTTATTATGCTCCTAAATCTTCTAAGGCTCCTCCTGTCCCTCCACTAACATTCCAGGGCATTCACAGTGACAGCCGAAGTTCTCCTCTTCTTTCTGTTATTCCCTTGAAGGCCTTGTGGTCTGAGTGCTTTTCCATTGTTTTGGGGGATCTGGGGAAATCTGCACATTTTGCGAGACTTCTATATTAAGCTATTTTGTAAAAATCTGTTCCTCATGTCAGAAGTTTGTGAGAGTAAAAGTGCAGGCATTGGGGTTTGGTTCACATATTTCAGAAACACCAAGGACAAATGTTTCTGCTTCATAATTTTCAGTCCTATGATTTCAAATGTGATCCTGCAAAAAAATCGGAAAAACTTTTATCAGAGCCCAAAACACCTCAGCACATATGATATAGTGAAGCTTCTATTTCACTTTATTCTTTTTTTCATCTCTGGTAATGTAGGTCAAAAAGTTTTCTTTTCCTTGGTAGAAATTAACTTAAAAACGTGAACTCTCTATGCCAAGCACCTCACCTGTGGAATAGTTTATTGTATCTACTCACCTCAAAGAATTTTTAAAGACCTTAATGCCATAGAAAAACTTAGAAACCTGCCAAGAATAGAATAAATTCTTAATTGTTACATGATTTCTTATTGAGTTATTTTATTATTTAATCTTATATAAAGCTTAGTGGGACTGTGATCTGCACGTTTTCACTTTTTGATTTTTATGTATCCCAAATTAGCCTATAATTTTAGCTTCAGGGATTTCAGAATAGCATACTTGAATTTATGTGTTATATAAAAAGTGAATTACTTAGTATGCACCTCACATTAATAAAATTTCAGTTTGTGTGTCTAAGTTTACTGCATAGAAAAACTTATCATTAGTGTTTCTATTAACTTTCCTCAACATTATCTGAATGATAGTATAATTTATTTCTCATTGCTTATTATGTAGTAGTGTTTCATTGCATATTTTTCAGTATTCATGTTGTTCCCATATTTAAAAATGTAAAGCTTTTCTTTACTTAAAAAAAAAAACAAATTATAGGCCAGTGCGGTGGCTCACGCTTGTAATCCCAGTACTTTAAGAGGCTGAGGTGGGTGGATCACAATGTCAGGGGTTCAAGACCAGCCTGGCCAACATGGTGAAACCCCGTCTCCACAAAAACCACAGAAAGAATGAGCAGGGCATGGGGGCGGGTGCCTATAATCCCAGCTACTCGGGAGGCTGGGGCAGAGAATTGCTTCAGCCTGGTAGGTGGAGGATGCAGTGAGCCGAGGTCTCGCCACTACACTCCAGCCTGGGTAACAGAGCGAGACTCTGTTCTCTAATATCATTGAAATCTTCATTAAAATTTTCTTCTAAATGTTCTTTATAGAAGATTATAATGCATTTGTTGTGAAATTTTGTTACTCTAACCATATGCTAATAATTCAAAATCTGTTCTTTATGGGTGTCCAGTTATGGTTGAATATTTCAGTTATCTAGAAAGAGTCTTCTTCAGTTGCATGATTTGTTTATTCAGTATTTCACAGGTTAATGTTTATCCAATTTTGTTTTGTAATATTTTATATTCCTGTATTTTCCTGTTAGGATAGGCTGTCTTACATCATTTAATTGTGTTTTTAGTTTCTGCTTATATGTTATAATTTTTTATGACTATATTTAACTGTGTACACTTTAAAAGAGTGTAGAAAAAAAGTCAAATATGAATCAACCATATGTGTATTGCAAACATAATTCTCTGTTCGTTTGACTGTATAAACATTACTCATGCTTTATTTATGACTTCTGTATTTATTTAATTAGTTGGTGGTCAATTATTTTTTTAATCCTCTCTGGGTGAGTAGTTGTGGAAATTGCCCTAATTTCCACATCTATGTATTAATGAATCTATATTACGTTTGCGTGAGGAAAACACCTCTGTGATGCGGGGGTAATTTTTTTTTTTTTTTTTTTTTTGACCACAGAAGTTTTTATTGCCCTCCTGCTCCGCAAAGGGACCTTGCTTCTGCTGGTTTAGCACCTCAAGACGTCTGTGATGTTGGTCTCAAACACCACTTTGCCGTCCACTATCCTGTGGGTGTTGGTCTTTTGGATGCTTTACAGGTATTTGCTGCTGTCCAGAATACCACCAAGATTGAAGTCCTCCCCATCTTCTAGCAGGCGGCAGTAGGTGGCAATCTCTGTGAAATGGGACACAGAGATCCAGGAGCCCCAGACCCCACGCCTCATAGAAGCTCGCCGCGCTGCTGACCTGCTGAGCACTTTAGCTGGGCGACTGGACAGATCCCAGGGACAGGTAGTAGTTGATGGAGAAGGTGCGGAGCAAGTGGTGAAGCTCGCTGTGTACGGGGAGGAAAGCGAGAGGACAGGACTCAGGTTTTGCCGAGGTCCTGAAGATAATTATTGAAATGCATTAAAACGGTATCTCACTTAGATATTATTATTGTTTACATTGTTATAAGAAACATATAAAATTGACAATTATTTACAATTTTACAATAATTTACAATGACAATAATTATATAGTTTAGACTTTTCAGCACATTGACATTATTCGACGTATCTCTAGAACATTTTTATCTTACAAAACTAAAACTCAATACACCTGAAACAACTGCCTGTCTTCTCCTTTGTTCAGCCCTTTACAAATGCTATCTTATTCTCTGTTTCTAAGGATGTTACTACTTTAGATATTTTATACATGTGGATACACTCAGTATCTGTCTTGTAGCTGGCTTATTTTATTTAGCATAATGTCATCAAGATTTTATTTTTATTATAGATAAAAGGTTTTCTGCTTTTCAAAAGCTGGGTAATATTCTATTGTTTTTATATTCCAAATTGTACCCATTCATTTGTTTGTTGAGGGAAGTATGGATTGCTTTAACCTATTGATTTTTGTAAGTAAAGCTACAATAAATACGTGAGCGTTTACATCTTTTTTGCACTCGGTTTTATTAGTCTATTTGTCTGTCTTTATGCCAGTAACAAACTACTTAGATTACTGTAGATTTGTAACAGGTTTTGAAAACAGGAACTGTAATGTTTCCAAAATTTTTCTCTTTTTGAAAACTGTAGAGTTCTTTGTGGTCTCCTGAAATTCCATATACTTTTGGGAGTCACATTTTCTGTATCTGTCAAAAATAAAATTAAGAATTTTATAGGGATTGTATTAAATCTGTAGGTCACTTTTGGCATTATAGACATGTTCAAAATAGTAAGTTTTCTAACTCTTGAACAAAAGCATGTTCAAGAGTAAATTGCTTAATTTTTACATATTTGTGAATTGTATGAATTTTCTTCTGTTATCGATTGCTAGTTTTAATCCTTTTTGGTCAGAAATTATAGTATGTAACATTCAATTTTTTTATTATACTTTAAGTTCTAGGGTACATGTGCAGAACGTGCAGGTTTGTTACACAGGTATACATGTGCCATGTTGGTTTGCTGCTCCCATCAACTCATCATTTACATTAGGTATTTCTCCTAACGCTATTCCTTTCATAGTCCGTCACCCCCAAACAGGCCCCAATGTGAGATGTTCCCCGCCCTGTGTCCATGTGTTCTCATTGTTCAACTCCAACCTATAAGTGAGAACATGCGGTGTTTGGTTTGAAGTCCTTGTGATAGTTTGCTGAGAATGATGGTTTCCATCTTCATCCATGTCCCTGTAAAGGACATGAACCCATCCTTTTTATGGCTGCATAGTATTCCATGCTGTATATGCTCCACAATTTCTTAATCCAATCTATCATTGATGGACATTTGCGTTGGTTCCAAGACTTTGTTATTGTGAATAATGCCGCAATAAACATATGTGTGTGTGTGTCTTTATAGTAGCATGATTTATAACTCTTTGGGTATATACCCAGTAATGGGATTGATGAGTCAAAAGGTATTTCTGGTTCTAGATCCCTGAGGAATCACCACACTGTCTTCCACAATGGTTGAACTAATTTACACTCCTACCCACAGTGTAAAAGTGTTTCTATTTTTCCACATCCTCTCCAGCATCTGTTGTTTCCTGAAATTTTAAAGATCGCCATTCTAACTGGCGTGAGATGATATCTCATTGTGGATTTGATTCGCATTTCTCTGATGACCAATGATGAGCAATTTTTCATATGTCTGTTGGCTGCATAAATGTCTTCCTTTGAAAAGTGTCTGTTATATCCTTTCCCCACTTTTTGATAGGGTTGTTTTTTTTTCTTGTAAATTTGTTTTAGCTATTTGTAGATTCCTGATATTAGCCCTTTGTCAGATGGGTAGATTGCAAAAATTCTCTCCCATTCTGTAGGTTGCCTGTTCAATCTGATAATAGTTTTGTTTGCACCCTGGTTTCGAACCAGGTACGCTACGGTCCCGGGGCTGTGAGCGAGGGCTGATGGGAAGGCACTTTCGTGCATGGGGGACACAGGCCCCGCTTCTCGGCTGTGAGGTTTTTTTTTCTTTTTTTTTCTTTTTTTTCCCTGCCACATGTGACTCACCTCCCCTCCCTCAAACCTAACCTTCCCCTCAGGGGCCTTCTGCCCGCTTTGGGGTACACATAGCGGGACCGAGACGCTCCCTGGGTTCGAACCAGGGTCCGGGGCCATGTGCAGGGGCTGATGGGAAGGCACTTTCGTCCGTGGAAGACCTAGGAACGCTTCTCGGCAGCGCGGTTGATTTTTTTTTTTTTTTTTCCTGACACAGGTGCTTCACCTCCCCTCCCTCAAATCTTACCTTCACCTCAGGGGCCTTCTGCCCGCTTTGGGGTACCCCTAGCGGGCCCGAGAAGCTCCATGGGTTCGAATCAGGGGCGCCAGGTTCCCTGGGACCCAGAGCAGGGGTTGAAGGGAAGGCAGTTTCGTGCATGGGGGACCCAGGCCCCGCTTCTCGGCGGCGCGATTTTTTTTTTTCCTGCCACAGGTGCCTCACATCCCCTCCCTCAAACCTAACCTTCCCCTCAGGGGCCTTCTGCCCACTTTGCGATACCCCTAGCTGGCCCGAGGCCCTCCCTGGGTTGGAATCAGGAACGCCAGGGTCCCCGGGTCCCAGCGCAGGGATTGAAGGGAAGGAACTTTCGTGCGTGCAGGACCCAGGAACGCTTCCTGGTGGCGAGTTCTGTTTTGTTTTTTTTCCTGCCACAGGTGCTGCACTTTCCCTCCCTCAAACCCCACCTTCCCCTCAGGGGCCTTCTGCCCGCACTGGGGAAACCCTAGCGGGCCGAGATTCTCCCTGGGTTCGAAGGGACACCAGGGTCCCGGGGCCATGCGCAGGGGCTGATGGGAAGGCACTTTCTTCCGAGAAGGACCCAGGAACGCTACTCGGAGGCGCGCTGTTTTTTCCTTTTTTTTTCTGCTACAGCTGCCTCACCACCCCTCCCTCACACCTTAACTTCCCCTCAGGGGCCTTCTGCCCGCTTTGTGGTACCCCTAGCGGGCCCGAGAGGGCCCTGAGTTGGAACCGGCGATCCATGGTAACCGGAGCCCAACCCAGGGACTGATGGGAAGGCACTTTTGTCCGTGGGGGACCCAGGCCCCGGTTCTCCGGGGCGCTTTTTTTTTTTATTTCCTGCCACGGGTGCCTCACCTCCCTTCCCTCAAAGCTTACCTTCCCCTCAGTGGCTTTTGTCCGCTTTGGTGTACCCCTAGCCGGCCCGAGACGCTGCGTGGGTTCTAAGCAGGGACGCCAGGGTCCCCGCGGTCCAGCACAGGGGCTGATGGGAAGGAACTTTCGTCCGTGGGGGACCCAGGAACGCTTCTCGGTGGCGCGTTTTTTTTTTTTTTTTTGTGCCACAGGTGACTCACCTCCTCTCCCTCACACCTTACCTTCCCCGCAGGGGCTTTCTGCCCACTTTGAGGTATCCCTAGTGGGCCCGAGACGCTCCTTGTGTTCAACCAGTGACGCCAGGGTCCCCAGGCCCAGAGCAGAGGCTGATGGGAAGGCACATTCGTCCCTGGGGGACCCAGTCTCGGCTTCTCGACGGCTCGGTTTGTTTTTTTTTTCCTGCCACAGGTGCCTCCCCTCCCTCAAACCTAACCTTCCCCTCAAGGGCCTTCTGCTAGCTTTGGAGTACCCCTAGCGGGCCCGAGACGCACCCTGGGTTCGAACCAGGGACGCCAGGTTCACGGGGCCATGCGCGGGGGCTGATGGGAAGGCACTTTCGTCCTTGGGGGACCCAGTCTCCGCTTCTTGGCGGCGCGGTTTTTTTTTTTCCTGCCACAGGTGCCTCATCTCCCCTCCCTCAAACCTTAACTTCCCCTCAAGGACCTTCTTCCCGCTTTGGGGTACCCCTAGCGGGCCCGAGACGCACCCTTGGTTCGAACCGGGGACGCCAGGGTCACCGGGGCCCAGCGCAGGGACTGATGGGAAGGCACTTTCTTCCGTGGGGGACCCAGGAATGCGTCTCGACGCTGAGTTTTTTTCTTTTTTTTTTTTTCATCCACAGGTGCCTCACCTCCCTTTCCTCAAACCTAACCTTCCCCTCAGGGGCCTTCTGCCCGCTTTGGGGTACCCCTAGCGGGCCTGAGTCGCTCCCTGGGTTCGAACCAGGGACGCCAGAGTATCCAAGGCCCAGTGCAGGGACTGATGGGAAGGCACTTTCGTCCGTGGGGGAACCAGGAACGCTTCTTGGCGGCGAATTTTTTTTTTTTGTTTTGCGTTTTTTTTTTTCTGCCACAGGTGCCTCACCTGCACTCCCTCAAACCTTACCTTCCCCTGAGGAGCCTTCTGCCCGCTTTGGGTATGCCTAGCGGGCCCTTTACAAGAAGCTCTTTAGTTTAAGTAGGTCCCGTTTGTCAATTTTGGCTTTGTTGCCATTGCTTTTGGTGTTTTAGTCATGAAGTCTTTGTCCATGCCTATGGTATTGCCTAGGTTTTCTTGTAAGTTTTTATGGTTTTAGGTCTTACATTTAAGTCTTTAATCCATTTTCACTTAATTTTTGTATACAGTGTAAGGAAGGGATCCAGTTTCAGTTTTCTGCATATGGCCAGCCAGTTTTCCCAGCACCATTTATTAAATAAGGAATCCTTTCCCCATTGCTTGTTTTTGTCAGTTTTTTTCAAAGATCGGATGGTTGTAGATGTTTGGTGTTATTTCTGAGGCCTCTGTTCTGTTCCATTGGTCTATGTATCTGTTTTGGTACCAGTACCATGCTGCTTTCCTTGCTGTAGCCTTGTATTATAGATTGAAGTCAGGTAGCGCGATTCCTCCAACTTTGTTCTTTTTGCTTAGGATTGTCTTGACTATGCGGGCTCTTTTTTGGTTCCATATGAACTTCAAGGTAGTTTTTTCCAATTCTGTGAAGAAAGTCAATGGTAGCTTGGTGGGGATGACATTGAATCCATAAATTACCTTGGGCAGCATGGCCATTTTCACAATATTGATTCTTCCTTTCCATGAGCACGGAATGTTCTTCCATTTGTTTGTGTCCTCTTTTATTTCGTTGAGCAGTGGTTTGTAGTTCTCCTTAAAGAGGTCCTTCACATCCCTTGTAAGTTGGATTCCTAGGTATTTTATTCTCTTTGAAGCAATTGTGAATGGGAGTTCACTCAGGATTTGACTCTCTGTATGGTATTGTAGGAATGTTTGTGATTTTTGCACATTGATTTTGTATCCTGAGACTTTGCTGAAGTTGCTTATCAGCTTAGGAGATTTTTGGCTGAGACGACGGAGTTTTCTAAATATACAATCATGTCATCTGCAAACAGGGACAATTTGACTTCCTCTTTTCCTAGTTGAATATGCTTTATTTCTTTCTCTTGCCTGATTGCCCTGGCCATAACTTCCAACACTATGTGGAATAGGAGTGATGAGAGAGGACATTCTTGTCTTGTGCCGGTTTTCAAAGGGAGTGCTTCCAGTTTTTGCCCATTCTGCATGATATTGGTTGTGAGTTTGTCATAAATAGTTCCTATTATTTTGAGGTACATTCTGTCAATATCTAGTTTATTGAGCATTTTTTAGCATGAAAGGCTGTTGAATTTTTTCGAAGGCCTTTTCTGCATCTATTGAGATAATCATGTGGTTTTCGTCATTTGTTCTGTTTATGTGATGGATTATGTTTACTGATATGCATATGTTGAACCTGCATCCCAGGGATTAAGCACACTTGATCTTGGTGGTTAAGCTTTTTGAAGTGCTGCCTGATTCGGTTTGCCAGTATTTTATTGAGAATGTTTGCATCGATGTTCATGAGGAATATTGGCTTAAAATTTTCTCTTTTTGTTGTGTCTTTGCCAGACTTTGGTATCAGGATGATGCTGGTCTCATAAAATGAGTTAGAGAGGATTCCCTCTTTTTCCATTGATTGGAATAGTTTCAGAAGGGTTGGTACCAGCTCCCCTTTGTACCTCTGGTAGAATGTAGCTGTGAATCCGTCTGGTCCTCGACTTGTTTTGGTTGGTAGGCTATTAATTATTGCCTCAATTTCAGAACCTGTTATTGGTCTATTCAGAGATTCAACTTCTTCCTTGTTTAGTCTTGTGGGGGATGTATATGTCCAGGAATTTACCCATTTCTCCTAGATTTTCTAGTTTATTTGCGTAGAGGTGTTTATAACATTCTCTGATGGTAGTTTGTATTTCTATGGGATCAGGGGTGATAGCCCCTTTATCATTTTTTATTGCTTCTCTTTGATTCTTCTCTCTTTTCTTTATTAGTCTTGCTAGCAGTCTATTTTGTTGATCTTTTCAAAAAAATAACTCCTATATTCATTGATTTTTTGAATTTTTTGTAACATTCAATTTTTCAAAAATTCTGTTCAGAATTGTTTTTTGGCTTCATAGTTATTTTTAGGAGAATGTTTCATGAGCTTTTGAGAAGATTGTGAGTTTTGTTTTTGTGTAGAGTGTTCTGTATGCATCTGTTATATCTAATTGCTTTACAGTATTTTCATGTCGTCTGTTTACTTTTTAATATTCTATCTGGCTTTTTTATTAATTACAGAACTGGTGTATTAAAATATTATACTTTTAATATATTGCCGTTTTTGCTTATGTTCTGTCAAGATATTATTGAGATATTTAAAAATACTCATGTAAGGTGCATACATATTGGTGTGAATACATAATTAGATATATACACACAATTATGTAAATGTGTATAATTGTCATAGGTTTCCAGTGAATAAACCCTTTTATTATTTTGTCCTTTGTTTTTCTGACAATTTGATTTCATAATATATTTTATAAACTAAGACAGTTATTTAAAAAGCATTTTGCATACTATAATTGTGACATAGTCTGTCCTCATTTGGTTATGATTTGCATAATTTTTTGGATGCATCTTGCCACATTTAGTCTGTTTTTGTTACTATAGAGTAAGATGGCTCATATCTGTCATCCTAGCATTTTAGGAGATTGAGGTGGGAGGATCACGTGAAACCAGGAGTTTGAGACCAGCCTGGGAAACAAAGCAATACCAAGTCTCTAAAATAAATAAATAAATAAATTGAGTCCCTTTAGACAGATGTAGTTAGATTTTCTTTCTTTTTTTTTTTAATTCCTATACTCAATTTATGACTTTTGGTTGAGAAGTTTAGTTTGTGAGTAGTTACATAATTTCCTGCATTTGAAGGAATTACTTTTGACACTTTGTGGAGTAAAATTTAAATATTAAATTTGAACTCAATTGAATCTGGACTCAAACAATGGTCACCAAGTCCTGGAACAGGTTGTGTGAGCCCCTTGAGGCTTTCATCCAGCGCTGTTTCGGATAAATCTCTATTTCAATTTATTCCTATATGTTAGTTACTGAAAAACAACAGACAATCAAAAAAACAAGTTGACCTTTTTCTTTTCCTTGAGCCCAGAAATGAAGGGCCCTCCTGACTGGACGTCATGCCAGATAACTCATTACAAAAAGAGCTAGAGTTCCAGACTGTGCCAAAACTTCATGAGATCTCTTCTCATCTGTTCACGGACAAGTGGCCAACTCTGGAGCCCAGTCTGTTGCTTCGCAGTCTGGTGGTGAATCCTCCATAGTCTGATGAGTGTAAATATATATATCTCTTTTCCCTTCTCTCCGTCCCATTGCAACTTGCTTATTATATCATTTGCTTATTATATCTGCATTGCCATTTACGTGGGATACAGTTTGTTTACCCTTAAAGGTATTGTGTGTGTGTGTGTGTGTGTGTGTGTGTGTGTGTGTGTGTGTTTCCTTCTCTCCTTGAGCATTTCCTGCGCAGAACATTTTTGGCTTCACGAACAGGATCCGAAAGCAAAAGCATGCCATTTTTTGGTGCAGGGACCAGACTGGGAGCTCGGGGACTTTCCATATCTTCAGATGGGAACTCCCTTAGTTCTTCCCCTTGGCCATTCAGTGGTCCAAGGGAGCTGACGTTTGTGAAAATAGGCAATCTAAGTTAGTGCATTTTGAATCATTGGCTGTGTGTGAGGAGGTGCAGGGAATCCCAGTTGGTAAATGGGATGCTGAGAGAATTTCCCGGCATGGATGGTGCTTGCTTACTGCTTATAAGTTAATGTGTCAAGATAGGAATCAGCTGCTACAACAGAAATGTAAGCCAGAAAAGAAAATGCTAATCTGACTTCCAGGCTGGCCCTGGCCCATGGCCAGGCCTATGTCTTGACTGATCAGCCTCAAAGTTATCAGCCTATTGCTGAAAAAAGCAGCTGCCTGAGTGGCCCAGTCAGGGTAAAACTGAAGAACTAGTCAGCTGGGGCTTGGATCCGGTAAAAACCCAAATCCTATCTCAAGGATGGGAAGTTAACCCTAGTAAAATTCAAGGACCTCCACAAACTGTAAAGTTCCTTGGCATCCTATGGAATGCAGGGAAACAGTCCATTTTACCAAAGGCTAAGGCTAAAATACTAGAATTTGCAGCCCTACCACTGAAAAGGAGGTCCAAAATTGTATTGGTTTGTTTGGATTCTGGAGACATCATATTCCCCATTTGGGTAACATTTTACAACCTCTGCATGCAGTCACTAGAAAACGCTATGACTTTCACTGAAGACAGAAAGTGAGCGTGGCTTTTCAACCAGCCAAACAAGCAGAGCAACAGTATGGCCCTTACAGGATGGGCCAGTAGAACTGCAAGTAACTGTCCTAGATCAACACGCTCATTGGAGCCTTAGGTAGAAACAAGATGGGAAGAGATACCTTTGGGGTTTTAGACCCAGAAGCTGTCAGAGGCTAGCAAAGCTTATACTCTTTGAGAAGCAGCTGTTGACCTGCTACTGGGCTTTACAGGAAACAGAACACCTTTGTCTTAATCATGATGTTTTTATGAGGCCCCAAATTCCTAATATGACTTGGGTCATGAACTCCCTCAAACCTCATTGGATAGGGTACACTCAAGAAAGTAAATGGAAATGGCACATACAAGACCAGGCTAAGCCGGAACCAAAACAGGTATCATTTTTAAATGAGGATGTGCAAAACTTGCCAGCTCAGCAAACCACTGAGCAAGTCCTGCAGATAAGGAAGGAAACCTCCCCTGCCCAATGGGGCAAATCCTTTAAAGAACCAAGCCCAGACGATCAGAGACATGCTTGGTTTGCTGATGATTCCACCAAATATATTGATGGGACCCGATGCTGGGAGGCCGTGGCTTATAATCCTGTTAAAAACATAAGCATTTCTGAGGAAGGGAGGGGTGTTAGCAGCCAGCTGGCTGAACTAGAATCTGTTCTCTGAACTATTCAGGAGGAGGCCAGAGGGATTTGTTACTTGTATACCTACTCTTGCTTAGCAGAAAATGGTCTTACTACCTAGTTGCCCGAATGGCAATGAAACAAATGGTGAATTACGAATAAAGAGGTTTGGAGAAAACAATACTAGGAAGATATCTGAATCCTGGTGCACACTACCATTATTGCTGTTTTCCAGATTGATGCTCGTGCATCTCTGCTTTCTCTTGACAGACTATTCCATCAGCAGGTAGATCAACAGGTGTGAGATTCGGAACCTTAACATTGGGCTGTGTTCATGTGAAAAGATGACAATTTTTGCTCTTCGCTCAGTGTACATATGAGTATCACAATCTCACCTTTGTTCTGGGCCCTAGCAGGACACTCTCTTCACCATATGAAGCCTTTATAGAGTATGCATGAGTGTAACAATTCTCTCTGAAACCTTAAGCAGGCACGGACCCCTCCTTGTACCTTTAGCTTTAAGCCCTGGTATGACAGTCAACATCTTTCTACTTGGATGGGTCCAAATAAGAGTTCTTAACTGCCTATGAGCTGCGTTTAAAAATGAGTCACCATCCCACCTGTGGCTGGATGTTCACATATGAAAGTCAGAATCCCAGTTGTGGACTATGTCTGCATGTGTAATTCAGGACCTCAAGAGTGGGCTCTCTCCACATGTGATAGAGACCATCCTGAATATTGGTGTGGTGTGAATCTGAGAAGTATAATCTCACCAGTGTGCTGAGCCCTTTGGTGACAATTTCTCTACCATAGTTTACACAATATGCAAGACAGTGGTACTCCTCCGTGTGACGTATCACTGGGTCTTGCACACAGGTAATGTGAGTCTCCTCTCCTGCCTTGGAATGCTCACAGGAGGCATTGGGACATACCACTGAACCTGATATTCAGGTTATGTGCCTGTCTTTCCTGTGCTCTGTCCATGGGCGTTTGTGACATATTTTTGGGTCCAAAACACAGGCAACATAGCTCTCCTGTCTGGATCCTGCCTAGAGAGGGCATGGTGGCGTATCCCTGCACCAGCCACCAGATGATGTAACTCTATCTTCTGTCTAGTCCCTGCTTACAGGGTGAATTTTGACTTATCGCTAGGCGCAGCATTTAGCTAATATGACTCTTCCCTTTTTTCAGGTTCTGCCCACGGGGAAGATTGTGACATATCGATGGGTAAAACACCAAAATGATTTTACTCTTTTGTCTTTGTTCTGTCCTTAGAAGGCATTGGGACATATTGCTGAACCAGCACCAAGGTAATGTAAGGGTCCTACCTGAACCCTGCCCACAGGGAGCATAGTGACATATCTCTGAGCCCATGAACTATTTGATGTGGCTCTATTCTCTTACCTGGACTTTGCCCATGAGAAAGACTGTGACGTATTTCTTGGTCCAGTGCTTAGGTAATGTGATTCTCCTCTCCAGCCTGAGACATGCCCACAGAAGTAAGAGTGACATCTCTGGGCCTAGCCCACAGGTGATGTGACTCTTATCCCTTCTTTCTGCCCAGGGGAGTCATTGTGATGTATATCTGAGACCATTATAAGAATGATGTGACTCTCCTGTTCTTACTGCGACCTGTCCACAGTGGGGATGATGATGTATCACTTAGGCCAGCACATATGTGGTGAGATTCTTCTCATGCCTGTGCCCTGCCCCCTGGGCTAATTGTGACATATAACTGGACCCCTCCCCTAGGTTATGCAACATATCCCTGTGGTAACACTCTTTGTACCATTTAAGGGCTTTATATAATATAAGAGAGAGTGGTATTCCTCTAAGACCCTCATACAAAGAGAAGATTTAGGACCTACTGATTTTCCAAAGCCTCACTAGGAAAAACAGCATTTCTCTTAGTGGCAGGTTTGAGGTATGAGAGTCATTATTACACCTGTGAGCTGGCCAAGATATATGTTTCAATCTCTCCTGTGGGTAGGGAGTGAGCAGGAGAGTCGCAGGGACCAGGTAGGAGAGTCACATACCTAAGGCTGGGCCAGGGATATGTAACAATCTTTTATGAGGTCGGAGGCTAGGAAGGGAGTCCCATCACTTGTGTGCTCACCTGGGATATGTTACAATCCCCTCCTGAAATCAGAGTACAAGCAGCAGAGTCAAATCACCTGAATATTGAGCTCAGTGATATGTCACCACACTCCCTGTGGGTAAAGCCATGGCAGGAGAGACACATCACCTGATTACTGATTACTAGGCCCAGTGATATGTCAGAATTTTTCCTGTGGGCAAGGTGCAGGCAGAAAGGAGAGTCACATCATCTGGTGATGGAGGCAGAAATATGCTACAAGGCAGAAATATGCTCTGCCTCCCTGTGGGCAGAGTTCAGGCAGGAGCCCCCAATCTCCTAGGTGTTAAGTTCAGTGATATGTTACAATGCTCCCTGTGGGCAGCACAAGTCGAGAGAATAGAGCCACATCACCTACGTTCTAGGTCCAATGATATGTCCCAATTTTATTTGTGAGCTGGGCTTAAACAGGAGAGTCTACTCACTCAGGTGCTGGACAAATGTGTATGTTTGTCACAATGACACCTGCAGGAAGTTCTAGACATGGGATGAATCCCGCACATATTCTGGTTTTACGCATGAGAGTGAACACCTTCTGTATGTTTGATCTAAGTACACAAGTCACTATCTCAATAGTGGACTAAATTTGTGCATGGCAGCCCCATTTTCTCTTGCAGACTTTCTCCCCTAATTGAAATCACGGCTTCACAGGTGTGCCGACTCATGATATGAGAGTCATCAACATATCTGTGACTCTCACATATGAGAGTCAGTTTTTCAACTTTTTTTATTGTACTTTAAGTTTTAGGGTACATGTGCATAACGTGCAGGTTTGTTACATATGTATACATGTGCCATGTTGCTGTGCTGCTCCTATTATCTCCTCATTTACATTAGGTATATCTCCTAATGTTATCCCTTCCCCCTCCCCCATCCCACAACAGGCCCCGGTGTGTGATGTTCTCCTTCCCGTGTCCAAGTGTTCTCATTGTTCAGTTCCCACCTAGGAGTGAGAACATGCCATGTTTGGTTTTTTGTTCTTGCGATAGTTTGCTGAGAATGATGATTTCCAGCTTCATCCATGTCCTTACAAAGGACATGAACTCATCATTTTTTATGGTTGCATAGTATTCCATGGTGTATATGTGCCACATTTTCTTAATCCAATCTATGATTATTGGACATTTGGGTTGGTTCCAAGTCTTTGCTATTGTGAATAATGCCACAATGAACACACGTGTGCATGTGTCTTTATAGCAGCACATCATGGTACTGGTACCAAATCAGAGTACGTGGTACTGGTACCAAATGGAGCAGAACAGAGCCCTCAGAAATAGTGCCACACATCTGCAACTATCTGATCTTTGACAAACCTGACTAAAACAAGAAATGGGGAAAGGATTCCCTATTTAATAAATGGTGCTGGGAAAACTGGCTAGCCATATGTAGAAAGCTGAAAATGGATCCCTTCCTTACACGTTACACAAAAATTAATTCAAGATGGATTAAAGACTTAAATGTTAGACCTAAAACCATAAAAACCCTAGAAGAAAACCTAGGCAATACCATTCAGAACATAGGCATGGGCAAGGACTTCATGTCTAAAACACCAAAAGCAATGGCGACAAAAGCCACAATTGACAAATGGTATCTAATTAAACTAAAGAGCTTCTGCACAGAAAAAGAAACTACCATCAGAGTGAACAGGCAACCTACAGAATGGTAGAAAATTTTTTCAATCTACTCATCTGACAAAGGGCTAATACCCAGAATCTACAAAGAACTCAAACAAGTTTATAAGAAAAAAGCAAACAAACCCATCAACAAGTGGGCGAGGATATGAACAGACAGTTCTCAAAAGAAGATATGTATACAGCCAAAAGACACATAAAAAAGGCTCAGTTTTTCAACTTTTGAAACTGCCTTTGGGTATGGGATTCAGAGCCTCAAAAGTGAACTATGATCATGTGAAAGAATGACAATCTTTAATGTTGGCTGGGTGTGCATCCCAATGTCATTATATTACTGTGTGCTGAGCCCTATTAGGAGTTTCTGTGTTGCACCTGAGGGCTTTATATGGTATGCATGACAGTCTCAATTCTTTCAGAGATTTTCATGCTGGTATGGACCCAGGATCAAACCTGTGGCCCTAAGCCTATATATGAGTCAACATCTTTACAATTGGCGGGGTCCAGATAAGAGAATCATCACCTTTCTATGCGGTGGGTTTATAACGAAGTTCCCATTCCAACTGTGGCCAGATCTTTACATATGAGATTCGCAATTCCAACTATAAACTGCATTCATGTGTGAAATTCAGGACCCCACAAGTGGGTTCTGTTTATA
The DNA here is from genome assembly GCF_000001405.40 of Homo sapiens. Taxonomy (NCBI): domain Eukaryota; kingdom Metazoa; phylum Chordata; class Mammalia; order Primates; family Hominidae; genus Homo; species Homo sapiens. The sequence goes on from NT_113930.2 coordinate 73,991, forward strand.
TGTGAGGGTGAAAATCATAATGGCCAGGAGGGTGCAGGGTGCGCATAGGAGTAACAAATTTCACCTGTGTGCTGGGCCCTGTGATAAGACTCTCTACCACCCGAGGGCTTTCTGTAATATGTGAGAGAGTGGATGATCTTAACGAGGAGACCCAGGGATTTTTTTTTTTTCATTTCCCTAAGTGTCGGTAGGAGAAGCAGGATCTCTCCTATTGGCTGGTGTGACATATGAAAGTCATCATTGCACCTGTGTGTTGTGTTCCAAGATATAAGTCACAATTACACCTTCATATAGGAAGAGAGAAGGAGAGTAAAATCAGTTGGACGCTGGGCCAGGGATATGTCGCTTCCCTGAGAACAGGGACCAGAGAACAGAGACACATTACCTGAATGCTCAGGCATGGGTATGTAGCAATCCACTCCTTAAATTAGGAACCAGGCAGCAGAGTCACATCACCTGGGTGCTGGATCTAGCAATATGTTACAATCCTCTCTGTGGTCAGGATGCAGGTAGGAGAGTCACATCTCCTTGGTGATGAATGCAGAAAAACGTCACAAGTTTCTCTGTGCATAAGGTAGAGGAATAAGCCTTTTATCCCCTAAGTGTTGGGCCCGGGGATATGTCACAATACCCAAAATATGCAAACCCAGGCAAAAGAGAACAGTCACATCACCTTGGTGGTAGGGTCACTGATATGTCACAATCCCCTCTTTTGGAAGGGCCCAGATAAGAGTGGAGAGTCACATAGCCTAGGCAATGAATAGAAAGGTATGTCATAATACCCCTGTTGGCAAGACCTATGCAGAAGAGTCACATCACCTATGTGTTCAACCCAGATATATGTTACTGTACACCATGTATGCAGGGCCCAGGCAAGAGAAAAGGCCACATCACCTCGGTTCTGGGCCCAGCAATATATCACAATACCCCCTAAGAGGAGGTAACAGACAGGAGAGTCACATCACCTAGGTCTGAGGAGCAGAGCTATATGGTAATGCCCTGTGTGTGTGCACCCCAAAATAGAGGAGAGTTACATCACCTGAAGACTGTACCCAGCTATGTCACAATGACCCCTGTGGGCAGCACCCAGGCATGAGAAGAGAGCACCATCATGTAGGTGCTGTGCCAGGCTGTATTTCACAATCTCCACTATGGATAGGTTTCAGGGAGAAGAGGACCGTCACATCATCTAGTTGATGAGTCTGGAGATATGTCAAAATGAACCCTCTGAAGAGACCAGGATGCAGAATCACATGATCTGTGTGCTGGGTCTAGGAATAACCCATTCTCCCTTCTGTAAACATGGCCACGCAGAAGATGAGGGTCACATATTTAAGGTGATGAACGCGGAAATATTTCACAAGTCTCCCTGTAGGCAAGACCCAGACAGGAGATTCCCTTCCCTCAGTTGTTGGGACCAGAAATACATCACAATGTGGGGCTCAAGCAGAAAAACTAAAGAAACATCACCTATTTTCTGAGCTCAGAATTAGTCACAATCTCTCCTATAGGCAAAGCCTTTGTTAAAAAAGAAGAGTTTTATCAAATAGTTGATGGGCTCAGAGATATGTCCCAATGCCATATGTTACAAATTGCTGTAGGCAGGCTTCAGGCAGGAGATGGGCCTAATAATGTGTCACAGTGCTTTCTGCTTGCAGGGCAAAGTCAACAGAGTAATGTCACCTCGAAGTTGGACCCACCAATGTATCACAATCTCCTTCCAAACAAATCCTAAAAAACAAAAGAAGAGTAACATGAGGTAGGTGCTGGGCACAGTGATATGTCACAATCCTTTCTTTAAGCAGGGACTAGGCAGGAGAAGAAAATCACACCACATGGGTGATGGGCTCATAGATATTTCACAATGTCCCCTTAGGCAAAGCTCAGGAAGGAGAGGTAGATCATCTAGGTTTTGTATGCAACAGTATGTCACAATGGCCATTGTGGCCTGGGCACCGGCAGAAGAGTCACATAACATGGATGTGAGACCCAGCAATACATCACAACGCCCCGGTGAGTAGCACTAATGCAAGACAGAAAACTTACATTACCTAGGTGCAAGGCCAAGTGATATGTCCCAATGTCCCCTGTGGGCAGCACCAAGGCAGGAGGTAAGAGTCACATAACCTAGGTGCTGGCTTCAGTGATATATCAGAATCCCATCTGTGAGCTGGGCACAGGAAACAGAGCTAAAATACTCGGGAGCTGGGCAGAGATGTATGTCACAATCCCACCTGCAGAAAGCGACAGGGATGAGATGAACAACTCCACACATGTCCGGATTCCAGGTATGAGAATTTGCATGTTGGGCCTAAGTACACCAGTCTCAATCTCAACAGTGAACTGGATTCATAAATGTGTCTTCTCTGGCTGACCGTGTCCCCTTAGGAGAGTTACAGTCTCACAGATGTAATGAATTTTGGTTTGAGAGTCACCCACCTACCTGTGGACAAGATCCATATATGAGAGTCAATTTTCTTTTTTTTCTTTCTCTTTCTTTCTTTCTTTCTTTCTTTCCTTCTTTCTTTCTTTCTTTCTTTCTTTCTTTCTTTTCTTTTCTTTTCTTTCTCCCTTTCTTTTCCTTCCTTCTTTCTTTCTCTTTTTCTTTCTTTCTCTCTTTCTTTCTTTCTGTCTTTCTTTCTTTCTTTCTTTCTTCTTTGCTTTCTTTTTTTTTTTTTTCTCCCTTGAGATGGAGTCTCACTCTATTGCCAGGCTGGAGTGCAGTGGGACGATCTCGGTTCTCTGCAACCTCTGCCTCCTGGGTTCAAGCGACTCTCCTGCCTCAGCTTCCTGAGTAGCTGGGATTGCAGGTACATGCCACCATGCCCAGCTAATTTTTGTATTTTTAGTAGAGATGGGGTTGCCAGGCACAGTGTTCCATGCCCGTAATCCCAGAACTTTGAGAGGTCGAAGTGGGTGGATCACTTGAAGTCAGGAGTTTGACACCAGTCTAATCAATATGGTGAAACCCCGTCTCTACCAAAAATATAAAAATTAACTGGGCATGGTGACATGAGCCTGTAGTCCCAGCTACTCGGGAAGCTGAGACAAGAGAATTGTTTGAACCTGGGAGGCGGAGGTTACAGTAAGACTAGATGGTGCCACTGCACTCCAGTCTGGGTGACAGAGCAAGATTCTGTCTCAAAATAATAATAATAAATAAATAGTAGAGAGGCGGGGTTTCACCACGTTGGCCAGGATGGTCTTGATCTCCTGACCTCGTGATCCACCCGCCTCGGCCTCCCAAAGTGCTGCGATTACAGGCCTGATCCACCGCACCCGGCCGGTTGTGCTCATTTTTGAGGATAACTTTTATTGTCACCAGAGTGTGCATGAGTGTTAGAATCTCACCTGTTTGCTGGGCCCTGTTAGGACACTATGTACCTCCTATGGGCTTTGTAGAGTATGCATTAAACATAATCCACTCTGAGGTCTTCATGCTGATATGAACCTATGATCATACCTGTGGCCATAAGCCCAGGTATGAGAGTCAACATCTCTCCAGCTGGCTGGATTCAGATAAGAGGATCTTTACTTGGCTGTAAACTGGGTTCAGAAATAAGTCACTATCCCAACTGTGACTGGATGTTCACATGTGGTAGTTACAATTCCAGCTGTGGACGGCATTCAGGTATGAGGTTTAGACCTCCCTAATCACCTCTGTTCCTGTGTAGGAATGACAATTCTGATGATTGGTGGGTGTGCACACAGAGAACACAATCTCACCTGTGTTCTGGGCCCTGTGATGACACTGTACCATCTGAGTGCTTTACAGGATATGCAAGAGTGCTTATTTTCTCTGACCTTCATAGTAAGAGAAGACCCATAATTTTGCACATTTTGTAAAGCCTGGATATGAGACAAAGTATCTCTCCTATTGGTTGGTTTAAGGTATGAATGTCATCATCACACCTACATGTTAGGCCAAAATATATGTGACAATCTCACATTTGAGTAGTCAGCAAGCAGGAGGGTCTCATCACCTGGGTCATTGTCAGGGATACGTCACATTCTCCCCTGAGGACAGGGACAAGGCAAGAAAGTCACATCCCTAGGTATTCTGCCAGGGATATGTTCTTGTTCCCTCCTGAAAGCATGACACATGCAGCAGAGTCACCTCACCTGGGTTCTGGGTCCAGCGATATGTCACAATTTTCCCTGTGAGCAAGGCACAGGCAGGAGAAACACATCACCTGTTTGCTGGGCCCAGAAATATGCTACAGTTTTTCTTGTGAGCAGGGCTCAGGCAGAAATGGGGGAATCACATTTTCTAGGTGATAAATGCAGAGCTATGTCACAAGGTCCCCAGTAGTCAGGGCCTTGGCAGAAGATTCCTATTGTCTAGGCGATTGGCCCAGTGATACAACACAATAGCTAAATTATGCAGGGCCCAAGGCAAAGAGGAGAGTTGCATCACCTAAGTGATGAACAAAAAGATATGTCATAATACCCAGGTGGAAATGGGCCATGCAGGTAAGTCACATTACCTAGGTGTTGGACCCAGTGATATGTCACAATACACAATATATGCAGGGCCCAGCCAAGAGGGGAGAGTCAAATCACCCAGGTGCTGGGCCCGATGATACATTGTAATCTGTCTTTGGTCAGAGCCCTAGCAGTAGAAGAAACTCACATCACCTCCATGCTGAGGTCAGCCATATGTCACAATAACCCTGAGAAATGAGCCCAGGAAAAGAGTCACATCATTTAAGTGAGAGGCCCATAGATATTTCCAATTCCTCCTGTGGGTAGTCCTCAGTAAAAAGACAGTCACATTAGTTAGAGTCTGTCCCCAGCGATGTGTAAGAATCCCAGCTGTGAACAGGCACCAGACAGGACAAGAGAGTCCCATCACCTGGGTGAACAGTGCACAGATATGTCACAATGACCCCATGTAGGTAAAGTCTAGACAAGAGTTACATCACCTGGGTGTTGGACCCAGCAATATGTCACAATGGCTCATGTGGGCAAAGCACAGGACACAGTCATATAACAAAGTGCCAGGACCAGTGTTAGGTCAGGATACCCTTTATGGGCAGTGCCAAGACAGGAGATTAGAAGCATATTAATTAGATGCTGGATTCAAGGATATATCACAATCTCATCTGTGGGCTACACCCAGGCAAAAAAGTCAAATCACTCAGGAGCTGGCTAGAGGTGTACGTCAGAATCACACCTGCAGGAAGGTCCATGGATGAGATTAACAATCCCTCATAAGTGCCAGTTCTGGATATGAGAGTGAACGCCTCCTGTATGTTGCATCTATGTGCATAAGTCACAATCTCAATGGAGGAATGGGTTTTTTCCATGAGAGCCTTAATCCCTTTTGAAAACGGAGTTATCTTAGTGGACTCACAGCCTCACAAGTGTTTTGGATCTTGGTCAGGGAGTCACAAACCCACTTAAGGACAACATCCACTTATTAGAGCCAATTTTCCAACTTTTCACTGCCTCTGGGTGTGAGTTTCAGAACCTCATTTATGTTCCATGTTCGTGTGGGAGAATGACAATTTTGACAGATGGCTGGGCTCAGGCAGGAGCCTTTCATCCTGCAGGTGTTGAGACAAAGGATATGATACAACACCTAAAATATGCTGGGTGCAGGCAAAAGAGGAGACTCATATTAGCTGGTTGCTAGGTCCAGTTATATGTCACCACCTCCCTTTTTGGCAGGGCTAAGGAAAAAGAGGAGAGTCAGAGCTAAAGAAATGTCATAATGTCCCTGCGGGTAGGACCTATGCATGAGAGTTGCAACACCTAGTCATTGAACCCAGCCATATATTATAATACACAATGTATACAAGGCCCAGGCAAGAAAGGAGAGAATATCACATAGGTACTGTGTCCAGCAATATGTCACCATACCCCCCAGAGGGGAGGCTCCAGGCAACAGGATAACATTACCTAAGTGAAGTGCCCAGAGAGATGTTTCAATGACCCTGGTGGGTAGGATTTTGAAAAAAGAGAAGTTACAGAACCTAGGGGCTAGGCCTAGCTATGTGTCACATTCATCTCCAAGACGGAGCCCAGATATGAGAGAAAAGTCACATGATGTAGGTACTGGGCAAAGTAATATGTCACAATCCTTATGTGAGCCGGCCATAGGAAGAAGTAGAGAGTCACATAGTCTAGATGATGGGCCCAGAGGCATTTGACAATGACTCCTGTAGGTAGGGACCAGGCAGAAGAATCACATCACCCCTGTGCTGTTCCCAGTTATAAGTCACACTTCCTTCTGTGGGCATGCCCCAGGCAAGGAGAGGAGTCACATCATCCCGGTGCTAGACCCAGGGTTATGTCACAATCTGTCTTATGGGCAATGCTCAGGTAAGAGAGGAGAGTTGCATCAAATAGATGATGGACCCAGAGGTATGTCACGATGCCTTCTGTGAACTCGATCCAGGCAGAAGATTCACATCATCAACTTGGTGCTAAGCCCAGCAACGTGTCACAATCCCTTCTGTGTAAAGGGACCAGGCAGGAGAAGAGAATCACATTACCAGGCTGATGAGCACAGAGATATGTCACAATGCCCCTGTAAGGCAGGGCCCAGGCTGTTGGGTTACATAGCCTGAGTAGTGGACCCAGCAATATAACACAGTGTCCCATATGGGCAATGCACAAGCCGGAGAGTCACATAACCTGGATGCGAGGCCAAGCTATATATAACAATGCTTCCTGAGGGCAGCGCCAAGGCAGAAGAGGAGACTCACATCTCCGGGTGCAAGGTCTAGCGATATGTCAAAATGCTCACTGTGGGCAGTGCCAAGGAAGGAGAATAGAGTTACACCCTCAATGTGCTGGATCCAGCAATATGTTAATATCCCATCTGTGGGCTGGGTCCATGTGAGACCATCAAGTCACTCAGGTGCTAGGCACCGGCAAATTTCACCATGAAAGCTGCAGAATGGTCCAGGAATTAGATTAACAATCCCACAACTGTCTCAGTTGTAGGCATGACATTCAACACCTCCTGTATGTTGGGTCTAAGCTCACGAATAACCCTCTCAACACCAGACTGGATTTGTGCATGAGAGTCTCAATTCCTCTGCAGACTGACCTGTGTTCCCGTGAGAGGATGACAATAGTTACTGTTGGCTGGGTGTGCATATGAGTGTCACAATCTCACCTGTGTGCTCGGCCCAGTTAGCACGCTCTGTGTACTACCCAATGGCCCTATACTCTATGCATGAGAGTCGTAATCAACTTTGACACCTTCCTAATGGTAGGGACCCATGATCGTACTTGTAGCATTAAGCCCGGTATGAGAGTCAACATCATTACAATTAACTAGGTCAGGATAGGAGAGTCCTCCCTTGCCTATGAGCTGAGTTTAGATGTGGGCCACCATTTCAACTCTGGTTGAATGTTTATATATGAACACGGGCCTAACACTGAGGTGATGTGAGTCTTTGGCCTAGACACTTCAAGCAGGAGGCAAAGTGACATATCTCTGGGTCTATCAACTATTTGATGTGACCTTCCTTTTTTACCTGAGCTTTCCCCATAAAAGAGATGTGACATATGTCTAGACAAAGCACCTGGGTGATGTGACTCTCCTTTATTGACTGAGCCCTGTGTATTTTGGGTATTCTGACGTATCCCTGGACCTAACTTCTGGAAGATAAGAAGATCCAACATGGGCCCTGCCTAAAAAGTTTCTTGTGACAAATTTCTACATGAATCACCTTGGAGATTTGACTCTCCTCTCTTACCCGAGTTTTGCCCATAAGAGAGATTGTTACGTACCTCTGCAGCAAGCACCTAAATGCTGTGGCTCTTCTTTCTTGCCCGGGTCATGCCCACAGATGAAAGAGTGGCTTATCGCTGTGTCCAGCACACCGGTTATGTGATTATGCTGCCTGATCTCTGCTCACAGGAGCCATTGTGACATATCCCTGGGGCCAGAAACTATTTAACACGACTATCTTCAATGACCTTAACTTGGTGCCTGGGATAAGTTGTGACATATCTCTGGATCCAGCACCTAGGTGATGCGACTCTCCTTTTCTGCATGGGCTATGCTTACAAGAAGGAGGCTGACTTATTGCTGTGTTGACAAGTGATGTGATACCTCTGTTCTTGTCTTCTTAGTTTTTAAGAATTTAAACAAGAGACACAAGGAAAAAAAGTACAGCATAATTTATTGGAAAAGAAAATACTTGAAAGTTAAGTGCAGATTACAGTACACCCTGAGAGAGATACTCCAGGGCGGGCTGCTCGTAAGAGTGAGACAGCGTGGACTGTCGCTGGAGAAACCCCCTTACGGGAGTTTTACATTATTATTAATAAGGTGGAGGGAAGAGGAGTTGCTTATAAGCATGTTCTGAGTGATATTCTGGGTGCACATACGCAGTGACTATACATGCTTGTTCATATGTTGCATGTCTCGTTAGCATCTTAGATCTCCACCCAGGAGTGTATTTCTGTTTGTTTGTTTGTTTGAGACAGAGTCTCCCCGTGTTACCCAGGCTGGAGTGCAGTGGTGTGATCTCTGCTCACTGCAACCTCCGCCTCCTGAGTTCAAGCCATGCTCATGCCTCTGCCTCCAGAGTATCTGGGATTACAGGCATGCACCACCATACCCTGCTAATTTTTGTATTTTTAGTTGAGACGAGATTTCACTATGTTGGCCAGTCTAGTCTCAAGCTTCTGGTTTGAAGTGATCCATCTTCCTCAGCCTCCCAAAGTGCTGGGAGTACAGTTATGAGCCACCTTGCCTGGCTAGGGCCTATATTTTTTGCTATTAAAATAAGCGAAAGTTAAGTTTGAGGACAGGTGAAATCAAAATGCACATGCTTTCTAGAACAGAAAGTCCTTAATGAGGATAACTTTGCTTGAATAAGCCCAATTACAATGCGAATGCTACGGCTTATTGTGTTGGCTGTACAGTCACCATGGTTTCTGTATCCTGAGATCATGGTCATTTTCTGTACTATCTATTCTGCCTCAATTTCCCCCTAAGAGATTTTAGGGCAATAATCATATTGGAGGTTGAGGGGTTAGGCCATTATTTCTGGAGCTGTTTCCTGCTGAGCGGGTGTTACTTCTGCCTAGCCTGGGCCTTAAAGTTTCTTCCTGTGTGATCTAACAGGGTGTAAACCATGTCGTTCGTGGAACCAGTGGGAAGATGCTGGCAACCAAAGGTTGAAAGCCTTGCAAAACCATCATGCAAACATGGAGTTGCCGTAAGCAAGAGAGCAAGAAATCAGTTAACATTTTAAACAAAATTGGAACAAAAGTAAAAGTTGAAAATATAATAATGACGGGTACTATTAAAGAGAGCAAGGCAGACAACGGACATAGCTTTCATGTTCCCATGGAAGTTCCTAGAGATTCAATTTTGTCTGCCTGGGTGATGATATTATTAATATTTTCTTCGACTAAACCAGACTGATTGATCTCAAAAACAGCATTCTTCTTTTAGATATAAACATGTTCCTCTTTACCCGGCTGGGAGAAGATCCCAGGCTCCTTGGTTTTGTCGGACTACAGTGGCCATGGAGTCCAGATGTTGTTGAAGTCTATTGAGGCCCTCTGCTGCCTGTTGGGGACACACTGAGATTTTCTGAGATAGTTTATACTGGATTCCCAAGGCTCCACCTTATGGTGACATTTGTGCTGCAAAGGAATTCTGCATTGAAATGGTGAAAGCAGCAAAAGTTTTAAGTCTTTTCTATTTTTTGCCAATAAGCAAAAGTTTTCTGCAGCTACGTGGTCAGCAGTCATTGGGTCCATTTATGGATGGTGAAGTTGAATGGTGGTCAAAGTTAGAGCCTGGAAGGCTTCAGTAAATGCGCTGAAGTTCTTTGGGAGCCATCAGAGCTGTTGCGTGCATTGGATTAGATCATTTATTGAGAAGAGAACAAGCACTCTGATGGTCCTCTCTCCATTTGGGACTTTCTGTAAGCGGATCAAATTCTCTGGCCCTGCATGGTGTGAAGTTCCACCGCGAGTAACTACAGCTGGGCTGCTCACTATTGTACCTGGCAAAGGCTGATAGAGAGGAGCATAAGGAGGAGGTGAAACAAGCTTAGATTCTACAGAAGACTCTGATAGTGTGGGGATGCTGCGGATTCTACAGGAGGTGTAGGCCCTTGAGAGTCCCTATCTGGAGCTGGTGTTGGGCTGTTGGGTCTGGGGTCCCTTCCCCTTAATAAGAGATGATCTTCTAATGCTTCTGAGGGGCTTTGTGGCTTACTAGGCTTTAGCCCACAGGTGCTGCATAGAGCTGGGTTTTGTTGTCAGGCCATAAAGGTTTGCACATAGGATATTTCAGACCATTTTCCCTGATTTCTACAGAAAAGATCTAGCTGTAGGAGGGTGTTAAAGTTCACAGTCTCATTCCCCAGCCATGTTTTGTGAGCTAATCTGTATGCAAGCTAAATAGTATTACAAAAGAAGATAAGTTTTTTCTTTTCTTTTTTTTTTTTTTGGTTCATCTAGCCAAAAGCTGTTTCAATTTTTAAATATACATCCCAGGGGTGTTTCAATGACAGTAGAGGAAGCGGCTCCCATGGTGCCGACGGAATCTTGCAACGTCAGAACATGTACTAAAGTCCAGGAGGCCATGGGCATCACAATGGGACAAGTGGAACCACCAAGGTGTCCAGCACAGCCCCTCGAGACCCCATTAACTGAAGCTCTAGGAGGTCATAGGCATGTGCCATACACCGTCCTATCTCTCACAAGCGCTGCACATCTCCAGCCGTGCCGAGATGACCCCCACTGCTGGCTGGGGGGCAGATGTCTGGCTGACAAGCCTTTCCCTAATTTACTGGTTTGCAATTTATGATGCCGAATTATGACACCTGCAATGCTCAGATTCAAACCCCACGACCGGGCATCTACATGACTTTGAGTCGTTTGTTCAGCAAAGAAAACCTGTTGAAGAACAATTTCAAGGAGGTGGGAAATGCATAAAGCCTGAAGGGACAGGGTTCTCTTAATATTCCACTCAAAACAAAACAAGACAAAACTGTAAACAGAAAACCCGATCAGAAAATAAAGTACAATAGCCACTAGGTGGCGATCGAGTATTGCCGAAGGGACAGCAAACGATAAGCTGAGTCTGAAGTGTGGCCAGAAAGATGTGAAACTAAGCAGCAAACTAGCCCGAATATGAAATGTTGAGAGCAACCCATGCGGTGAGTGTCATTTATGGATAGTACAGATGCAGCAGCCAAAAGGAGAGCAGACATATATTCTCTCTCTAGAGAATATAGGTGATTTAAACACGTTTCCCCCAGAACTTTAGTGAAACAGCGCTGGAACAACCAGCGATAGTTAACCAGGTAGTCTGGAAGTGCCATAGTATTCACTGCAAGAAAAGGGAAACTGAAATTAATGAAGCAGACAAACCTCTCTCCGGGCCATGGCAAAAGAAATGTTGATGGCTGATGTAATACCTTGGTTCTTATCTTCTTAGCTTAAAAGAATTTAAACAGGAAACATGCAGCAAAAGAAGTACAGCATAGAGTAATTTATTGCACACAAAAAAGAAAAGAATACGTTGAAAATCAAGTGCAGAATAGACGGTACAGTCTGAGAAAGAGATTCCAGGGCAGCCTGCTCATAAGAGTGAGACAGCATTAATTGTTGCTGGAGAAACCCTCCTTCTGGGAGTTTTACATGATTATTCATAAGAAGGTGGAAAGAAGTGTTATAGAAGGCATGCTTTGACTGGTCTTCTGGGTGCACATGTGCAGTAGCTGTACATATTTTTGCATATGTTTCATGTCTCATTAGCATGCAATGACATTTCACCCAGGAATGTGTTTTTACTTGTTAAAATGAGCAAAGGTTCAGCTTGAAGACAGATAAAATCAAAATGCACATGCTCTCTAGACGTAAAAGTCCCTACTGAAGATAGTGGGTTTCAAACGACCCCAAGTGCTCCACAACTTAAAAGTCGCTCCCACGAACCTGGAACACTATCTGTTCCTGAGGGATCAGGTCCCATTTGTGTCTCTGAGACACTGGCAAGTGAGGCACGACTTGGGATGAGACCGATGATTTTAATTGTAAAATGCCTAAATAGTCAGCAGCTTCAGGTTACATTTTGGAGCTTGTCCACTTAAATGGGTTGATGAAAATGGCTCACAAAACTCACGCCTTGGAAAGCGGGTTTTCTCCCTTGCTCTTAGATTTTCTGCAACCCATTAAACTAACTTCCTGATGCCTCGACTTTCACATTCGTGAAAAAGGCGCCATTGAGAGTGACGTTTCCAGGAAGGCTCAGCCCTTGTCAGCCCCTGCAGAGCTCTGAAGCTGTTCACAAGCAGGCCATGTGGAAGATTTCTCTCAAAAGCCATTGAGCACGCGCTCTGGCTAGAGAAAAAAGAGGGCTGCTGCACAATGGACAGTGTCTCAGACATCAGGACAGTTTCCACAGTAGTTTAGGAAAAAAGGCAGTGCCCTGAGCTGCAGAAGGTGCAATGCTCTGGAAGGAACCCTGGGTGCAGCTGAAAGAGGAACCTGAGAAGCATAGGGCCAATCGGGTGAGGATAACCCGCCTGATTTGGGCAAAGGTAAGGTGCCTACATAGGGTAATACCCTCCTCAATGCTCAGCCCAGACCTGTCCTCCAGGTCCACCTCTGTACTCACTCTCTGTGGCAAAGAGTCGGCATAGCATAAGAACTCAGCAATGCTTTGGACACTGGGAAGTCCACACCGCTCTGTCCCTCCCTCCAGGTCTATGCACCCCGGATCCCGGTATATGCTGAGATTATGGTTCTGAAGCCCACCGACAAATAGGCTGAGAGCAGTTAACGGACTACAGCTCCCAGCATATTAGGTGGGGCATGTACAACTTTGCCCCTTCTTCCAGGGCTATGCCTTACCCCGGAGACTGGCGCATGCTGGGATTGTAGTCCTGTAGCCATTTGACCAAAGGGCTGGGAGTGTTTATGAGAATACAACTCCCAGCAATCCTAGGGAGGAGCACACAGCCCCGCCTCTTCCCCCAGTGATACGCATTGTCCCTGAGACAGGTGCATGCTAAGATTGTAGTCCTGAAGCTCTGCGACCAAAGGGCTGGGAGTGTTTATGAGCATATATCTCCCAGCAAGCCTAGGAAGACGCACACAGCCCCGCCTCTTTTTCCACTGACGCGGACTGTCCCTGACCCCAGTGCATACTGGGATGGTAGTCCTGCATCCCTGTGATGAAAGTTCTGGGAGTCTCCATGAAACTACCTCTCCCAGGAAGCAGAAGGAGGGGTCCACAGCCTAGCCTTTTCCTCCAGTAATGCGCACTGTCCCTGAGCTGGGTGCATGCTGGGATTGTAGTCCTGCAGCCCGGTGATGAAAGGTCTGGGAGTGTTTATGAGACTACATCTCCTACCAAGCCCAGGAGGTGCACACAACCCTGCCTCTTTCTCCAGTGACGCCAACTTTCCCTGAGCCCGGTGCATGCTAGGATTGTAGCGCTGCAGCCCTGTGACAAAAGGGCTGTGAGTGTTTATGAGACTGCATCTTCCACCAAGCCCAGAGAGGCGTGCAGAGCCTCGCCCCTTCCTCCACTGATTAGCGCATGCTCCCTCAGTCCCATGCATGCTAGGATTGTAGTGCTGCAGCCCTGTGACCAAAGGGCAGCCCAGTGACCAAAGGGCTAAGAGTGTGTGAGAATACATCTCCGAAAAAGCATAGCGAGAAGAGCACAGGTCCACTTCTTCCTCCACTGAGGCGCGCTCTCCCTGAGCACGGTGCATGCTGGGATTGTAGTCCTGAAGCCCTGTGACAAAAGGGCTGGGAGAAATAATGAGACTACATCTCCCAGAAAGCCCAGCGAGACGCATGTACCCCTTTCTCTTCCTCCATTGAGGCGAACTGTCCCGGTGCCCCGTGCATGCTGGAATTGTAGTCCTACAGCTATGTGATGAAAGGGCTGGGATTGGTTATCAGAATGCATCTCCCAGCAAGCCCAGCGAGGCACGCACAGCTCCACGTCTTCCTCCAGGGACACACACACACACACACACACACACACACACACACACACAGTCCCTGAACTCGCTGCATGCTGGGATTGTAGTCCTGCAGCCCTGTGACCAAAGGGCCAAGAGTGTTTATGAGACTACATCTCCCAGAAAACGTAGGGAGAGGCACACAGCCCCACATCTTTTCCCAGTGACGCATACTGTTTTTGATCCTGATACATACTGGGATTGTAGTCCTGCAGCCCTATGACAAAAGGTCTGAGAGGCTTTATGAAACTACATTTCCCAAGAAGCGCAGCGAGGTGCGCAGAACCTTCCCATCCTTATCCAGTGAAGGGGAATGTCCGTGAGCCCCAAGCATGCTGGGATTGTAGTCTTATAGCACTGTGAGCCAAGGGTAGGGAGAGGACACGAGACTACATCTCCGAGAAAACCTAGGGAGACGCACACAGCCCCACATCTTTTCCCAGTGACGCATGCTGTTTTTGATCCTGATGCATTCTGGGATTGGAGTCCTGCAGTCCCGTGACAAAAGGTCTCAGAGTCTTTATGAAACTACATTTCCTAGCAAGTGCAGCGAGGTGCACACAACCTTCCCCTCATTCTCCAGTGATGTAGACTGTCCGTGAGCCCCAAGCATGCTGGGATTGTAGTCTTATAGCACCGTGACCAAAGGACAGGGAGAGGCCATGAGACTACAACTCTCAGGAAACCCAGCAAGGCGCACACTGCCCGGCCTCTTTCTCCTTAGACTAGCGCACTGTCACTGAGCTGGGTGCATACTAGGAATGTATTCCTGCAGCCCTGTGAGCAAAGAGCTGGGAGTGTTTATGAGAATACATCTCCCAGTACTCCCAGGAGGTGCACACAGCCCTGCCTCTTCCTGCAGTGACTAGCGCACTGTCCCTGAGCTGGGTGCATGCTGGGATTGCAGTCCTTGGCGATCTATGACCAAAGGGCTAGGAGTGTTAATGAGACTACATCTCCCAAAAAAGCAGAGTGAGAAGCGCACAGCCCTCCCTCTTCCTCCAGTGACGTGTGCTGTCCCTGAGCCCAGTGCATGCTGGGGCTGGAAGTGTAGTCCTTCAGCCCTGTGACGATAGGGCTGCGAGGATTTATGAGAATACATCTCCCAGCAAGCCCAGCGAGTAACAAACAACCCCGCCTCTTCCTCCAGTGACGCGCAATTTCCTTGAACCCGGTGCTGGCTGGGAGTGTAGTCCTGCAGCCCTGTGACCAAAGGTTTGGGAGTATTTATGAGAATACATATCCCACCAAGCCCAGCGAGACGTGTACAATCCCTCCTCATCCTCCAGTAACGCGCACTATCCTTGATCTTGGTGCATACTGGGATTGTAGTTCTGCGGCCCTGTAATGAAAGGTCTGGTGACTTTATGAAACTACATCTCCCAGCAAGCCAAAGGAGGCACACAAAGCTTTGCCTCTTCATCCAGGCACACGCACTATCCCTGATCCCGGTGCATGATGGAAATGTAGTCCTTCAGCCCTGTGACCAAAGGGCTGGGAGTGTTTATGAGACCGCATCTCTCAGCAACTAAAGCAAGGCCTGCACAGCCCCGCCTTTTCCTCCAGTGACGCTCACTGTTCACTAAGGAGTGTTCATGAGATTACATTTTCCAGCAAGCCCAGCGAGTTATGCACAGCTCTACCTCTTCTTCTAGCGACGCGCACTGTCCCTGATTCCGTTGTATGCTGGGATTGTGGTGCTGCAGCCCTGTGACAAAGGGGCTGGGAGTCTTTATAAGACTACATCTCCCAGCAAGCCCAAGAGGCTCTCACAGCCATGCACCACCCCCTCCCGCCCCACTTTTCCTTCAGTGACGCGCACTGTTCCCTGAACATGGTGCATACTGGAATTCTCCTGTTGCGGGATTCAGGAGGACGAGACAGACCTCAGGTTGAAACAGGAGAATCTTTATTGAGTGCACTCAGGACCAGCTGACTCACGTCAAAAAGACCGGGCCCGGAACACAGACAACACCTGACTTTTATACACACTTCACAAAAGGGGGTGGGCTAGCTTGAAGCGAGCTTACAGTGGCGTGAAAGCAGGAATACAGAGGCAGGACAAAGACAGGATTGCACATGACCGTTGCCAAGCAACCCACATGTCCATTATCTAGGTTTCCCTGGGCATGGGCTTATCCTATAACCCTCACTATGGTGCCCAAACAGCTGTAGTTCAGCCTACTCAGGCTTCTCATGACTTTCATTGTACTTCTTCGATAAAACACAATACTTGAAGTCACTAGTTACAGAGAACAAGAATCTATAAACTCATTCCATAAAACAAAGGGAATTTGTTTTTCTTTTCCCTGTGTTGGGGGAGTGTTGGGAGAACCTCCAGAGCACATTACATAATATTATCAAGAATTTTCCTGGGTCTGGGCTGTGCCTATTGCTGCCTCTGGGACAAATCAGCCTAATACAAGAAAACTTATTTCTCTTTCCTTTTAATTTCATTTTTCTTTAATTTCCTTCCTTAGTCCTGCAGCCCTGTGACCAAAGGACTGGGAGTGCACAGTTACACATCTGTTCACTTGTCATGAGACTGTTTTCCTTTAACCCCATGAACATACTTACCATAGCTTCTTTCAAATCTTACCTACCGATTACAGCATCTTGCACATCTTGAGAATAGGTTCTATTGTCTGCTTTTTATCTTGTGAATCGATTACATTTTCATCCTTCTTCACGCATCTCATAAATTTTTAAATTGTGTGATAGGAATTACAGGGACTCTGGCTTCTGTTGTATTTCTTTGAAAATTATTATTTTATGAGGGAGTTAATTTGAATAGATGCAAACCCCAATCCTTATCTCTTCTACAGTGGCAATACTAAAATCTTCATTCAGTTCTTCTAAACAGTGTGCGTTTCTATATAGCAAAATATAGTATTTTATTAAACTTTATTATAGTATATGTGAAACAGTTATTGAACAATCTACTCTACTTCATTATTACTGGAAGCCAGAACCTCAGTTGTGTTCACTTTCTGGATTTTATATAAGTGAAATTGTACAACATGTATACTTTTACATCTACTTTCTTCTATGCAACTTTATATTTATGATATTAATTCATCCTATTGCAGATAGCTATAGTTTGTTTATTTAAAAAATATTTTTTATATTGTGGCAAAGTATACATAAAATTAACCATTTTAGCTATTTTAAGTGTGCAGCTCAGAAAAATTAACTACACTCACATTGTTTTGCAACTATTATTCTCATTCATAGGGACCTTCTTTCAACTTCCAAAACCAAAATTTAATGCACATTAAATAACAGCTCCCTGTTACTCCCCCTCCAGCTCCTAGGAACCACTCTTCTACTTGGATTTCTAGAATTTAACTACTCTAAGTATCTCATAAGTGGAATGATACAGTATTTGTCCTTTTATGACTGGCTTATGTCACTTTGCACAATGTCCTTAAGGTTCATGCATAACGTACCATGTGTCAGAATTTTCTTATTTTACATAACTGAATAACGTTCCAATATATGTATAAATCACATTTTATTTATTTATTCATTGATGATAATTCAAACAACACGGGTAATTCACAAACCTTTTGGGTGATGTGAGTAATGCTGCCATGAGCCTAGGTGTACGTGTATTATTTTGTGTCTTTGCTTTCACATCTTTTGCTACATACCCAGATGTGAAATTGTGGGATCATATGGTGACTTTTGGTGTACATTTTTTAGTTATTATACTGTTATTTTATAGCAGCTGCAACATTTTACATTTCCAACAACAGTGTACAAGGGTTCTAATTGCTCCACGTCCTCACCAACACTTGTGATTTTCTGTTTTGTTTTGTTTCTTTTGGTAGTAACTATGCTGATGTGTATTAAGTGATATATCATTTGGAGTTATATTTGCATTTTACTAATGATTAGTTTTGTTGAGCACCTTTTCATGGACTTATTAGCCATTTCACATAATTTTTAAAGAAATGTCTGTTTAAGTATTTTGCCCATATTTTAAACAAGTATTTTGTTTTATTATTGCTGAATTGTTCTTTGTATATTCTGGATAGAGTCCTCTTTATTTTTCTTTTGTTTCTTGCATTTTTTGTGTCCTGTTAAAAAAAATCACTGCGAAATCCAGCGTTATGACATGTTTTACCTACATTTTATACTAAGAATTTTGTAGTTTTAGCTCTTACATTTAGGTTTTTGTCGAGTTAGTTAATTTTTTCTTATGGTATAAGTTAAGGGAACAGTTTCACTCTTTTACATGTAGGTACCCAATTTCCCCAGCACTAACTGTTGTAAAGGCAGTTCATTTCCCATAAAAATCATTTGACCATATATATGAGGGTTTATTTATATTGGCTTTCTATATTACTCCATTAGTCTATTTGTAGCATGCTATTTTGGAATTTTGTAGTAAGTTTTGAAATCATTAAGTGTGACTTCTCTAACTTTGGTATTTTTTTTTCAAAATTATTTTTGCAATTTAGGGTCCCTTGAGATTCCTCATAAACTTAAAAATTGATTTTTTAATATCTACACAAAATAATTGGCATTTTGCTTCTTGGTTACTTCCTAATTTTATTCTTTTGATGCTATTGTAAATTGAGTTGTTTTCATAATTTTCTTCTCAGATTATTCGTATTACTACATAAAATACAGTTTATTTTTCTATGTTGATTTTGTATGCTACTACTCTGCTGAATTTATTAATTTTAATATTTTTTGTGTGGAATCTTTAAGATTTTCTACATAAAAGAATATATTTTCTGTACACACTTTGATGAAGTTTATTTCATTGTCTTTTTTAATTTCTCTGAATGAAACTTCTAATACAGTGTTGAATAAAAGTGGCTGGCAAGAGCAGACATTCTGTCTTCTGAGCTTAGACGAAATAATTTTGGTCTTTTCCTCTAGAACATGTAGTTTGCTGTGGGTTTTTATACGTGAATTTTACAAAGATGGTTTTCTTTTATTCGTAATTTATTGTTTTTATTATAAAATATTTTGAATTTTGTAAAATACATTTTCTGTATTAATGAGATAATGTTTTCTAAAAATTTTGTTAATGTGTCATATGCATTGATTATTTTTCATATGCTAAAACTTTTGTTAAGAAAGGCTAGCTAAGTGAACCAGTGAGACTGGAAAAAGAATAAAGAAATCTATTCTGGTTGTGATCAATTAGTTGTAAACACCATTGCACTGAAACCAGCCATACGCTAAATCTTCCTTACATTCCAGTAATAAATTCCCCTTGGTCATGGGGTGTAATCTTGCTAGTATGCTGCTGAATGTGGTTAGCTAGGATGTTGCTGAGTAGTTTTGCATCCGTGTTCATAAGGGATATTAGTCTATGGGTTTTTGTAGTCTCTTTGTCTGGCTTTGGTATGAGCTAATGCTGGCATCATGGAATAAGTTTGGAACTGCTCTCTTCAGGATTTTGGTAGATTTTGGAAAGGATTTTTGTTCTATAAATGCTTGATCTACATCACCAGTGAAGCCAACAAAACAAGGGCTTTTCTTCATGAGAGGTTTTTAATTACTGATTCCATTTCCTTAGTAGTTTTCTATCTATTCAGATTTTGTATTTCTTTGTAATCAAGTCTTGCATAAGTAGGAATCTGCCCACTTTATCTAGGTTTTCCAATTTATCATCCTATCATAGTTCACAGTACACTTTTTTAAACATTTTATTTCTTTGAATTAGTAGTAATGTCCCACTTTCATTACTCATTTTAGTATGTGAATATGCTGTTAATTTTTCGTGTGTGTAGCTGAAGTTTTGCCAATTGTTAATTTTTTGAAGAACTGAGAGTGAACTTTTGGTTTTTTGGAATTCTGTTGTTTGTGTAATCTCTATTGCATTTATCTCTGCTAAAATCTTCAATACTTTCTTCTTTCTCTTTGCTTTGCATCTAATTTGGTGTTATTTTTCTAATTTACTAGGTGATAAAGTTATTATTTATTTGAAATCTTTGCTCTTTTTAAATGTATCTTAGCTGCAAACTTTTCATCTTAACACTGTTTTTGCTGTTTCCCATAACTTTTGATATGTTTTGTTTTCATTTTTCTTCCTCTGTATGTTCCTACTTCTTCCGTGATTTCTTCCTTTACTTAATTTATACAATTTTGTAATTCTTTAAGTTGTAATTGTGTAGTTGTTTAATTTATACAATTTTGTAAACTTTCTAGCATTTCATCTGTTATTGATTTAATTTGAGATCTACTATACAGCCCATCCTGGAGAATTCCCCATGTGCATTTGAGAAGAGTGTGTACTCTGTTTTGTTGGATGGAGTATATTGTATATATCTGTTAGATCAATTTAGTTCATTGAGTTAGTCAAGTCCTCTATTTCCTAATTTGTCATTCATCTCATTTTTCTATTCATTACTCAGAGTGGAGTATTAACATCTTCAACTATTATTTTAGAACTGTCTATTTGTCCCTTTAATTCTGTCAACTTAGTCTTTCTATATCTAAATGTTTTATTATTAGGTATGTAAGTGTTTAAACTATTTCTATCTTCTTGCCAAATGCACGTTCTATGATTATATAATGTCTTATTGTCTCTTGTAACTTTTTAAGTCTATTTTGTCTGCTATTAATATAGTCATCCCCAGTCTCTTTTTCCTACTATTGGTATAAAATAATTATTTTCTTCCCTTTTTTATAACCCTGAATTGCTGTGGAAAGCTAACAGTAGCATTACTTAATTTAAAAAGCACAGAAATCTTAAATCAATAGCTTAATGTTTGTAAAAGCATTTAAATGGAAATAAGCTACCAGTTCACCAGGAACAAAGGATATCAGTTGGGTCTAAGAATAATCATGCCAAAAAGCTCTAGGAGGAAAAGCTCCTGGGAATTAGGACTGTGATAATGGTCTTTGAGATCAACAAAGAAATGGGGAAATGGGGATGCTCAGGGTCAGGTACATGCTTAGCAAAAGACCCAGAAAACCCTAAGCTGTCACCTGTGTACTTTAAACTCTGCACAAGTAGAAAATAGAGGCACAAGGAGAGTTGTAACTTTATGCTGATTAGTAAAAGCATGCTCCAACACACATACATAGATCCCAGGTGAAAAAAAATCAGATATTTATTTTTAGTGAAGGTTAAAAAATCTGGAGTCTTACTTTCCAATTAAGGATTAGTGAAAATATTTGGGGAGATTTGCATTGATCAGTTCATCCTGAGGTCAAGAAAATCTTGATTTTAAAATTTGGAGCCTCCAGTAAAGGATTAGCTTCCACCTAGAGGTGTTCTTTGGCCTTTTGGACTCAGAGCTATCTTGACACTACTACTGGTTACACTGATTTGAAAGTCAGCTAAGAGCTTGCTACAGAACTCCTGACAAACTAAGTTTGACCTATAGAGGGCTAGGGCATCCCCAGCTGGTTGAAATTTTGTGCCTCCTTCTATCCTCTGAAGCAAAGCTGCTGTCTCTGTGGGGCCCCCAATTTACTGAGTGTTTCCTATATGACTGGTCCTGGTTCATAGATGAGTCAGGGAAGGTGAAACCTCATGATGTCCACTGGGCCGCTGTGGCTGTTTAACCTGTGCCAGCCATACAGAACCTGACATGAGTGGTTGCTCCTCTCAAAGGTCAGAACTCAGGGTTTGGGATAATGGCACATATTCTATCTGTTTGGTTATCTACAATGGAAAGTGTAGACTGTCTGAATATCTTTTGGGCTGCAAACCGGAAACAACCCCAGATGCTGATCTAACTGGGTCACTCATCTAGAAGTCCATGGTAAGTGTTTTCCAGAGAGTGACCACAATCAAGCTGCAGATTGAACCTAAATCTGTGTCCAACCCAGAGTCTAATACTGCAAACCAGACTTGGGGTTGCTGGTGAAAGTTGACCTATCTGTCTCATGGTTGAAGAATTCCTAGACCATACCTAGCAGAGTAACCAGAAGTGGACTTTTAGCCCACTTCTTGAGATATCAGTCACCACTGTTGACTTCTTCAGCATAACAGTCATCTGACTCCAGCCATACCATGTGTCCCTTGAAGCTAATCTGTGCCACCTTTTAGGCTTTTGAGGCCAATTGAGCTCTGACTTCGTGGCATTTTTCACCACATCGACTAAAATGGGCCAACTCTACGATGTTCCCTCCTTTTCCACACATGTTGGTTAGATAATTCGTTGATTAGGTATGCTTTTCTCTGAAAGGGGATTATCTCTTCCAGATTGCCTCCAAGATAAGGATGAAATGTTTGGGGGATCTAGGAATCTATTTCACAAATTTGGAATTTCGTGCTAATAATTCCTGGGTGAAATGTCTTTCTTTCCCATACCTGCAATTCTAGACCAGCCTGGCTTTTGTATCCTCTGAGTTGCATCCCAGCCTAGCAGCAGTTATGGGACTCCAACTTAGTTCTGGTTAAGTTTTATGTAAATATTCTTGTATCTGTTTTACCTGGCTCTACTACACAAAATGTCTAGAAAAAAGTAAAGGGCGACTAGAATAAAGGTGAGATTATAGATATCGGAATGAGACACACTGATTCTGTGGAGATAGAGGGAGAACAACAACCTGGAACGTGGGAAATGAACAACTTAGACCTCGGAAGCTACGGGGAATGGTGGGACATTAACAACTTTTTTTCTTTCTGAATAACCCCTGGTGCAGCCCACAAAAGAGTCTGGAAATACTATTAGAACAGACGGTAAGACAGAGGCTGTGGATTCAGCTCCTTTTGGTCTCCACGTTACTCTTAAGAATCCTTTGAGACTATTCTATCTCTCTGTGATGTAGGCATGGAACTCTAGTGGGCAGTGTGCACTCTCGGTGCCCATGGTTCAACGCCACAGTTTTTCAGATGATGGACAACCATTGCTTTTTCCTGAAGAGACTTAGTACCCTGTGGCTGAGCTTAAGCGGGACTCTAGGAATTACTGATTGCATTTTCTTCTTCTTCTGTGAACTGCGATTTCTCCTTCTGTTTTTCTACTACCTAGAGATTAATCTGTATTTGTCAATATTTAGGTAAATCAGAGACATAAAGCAGATAAGGAACCCTAGACACAGCTTCTAGCATAGCTGGACTCTTGCCTGTTTCTCTTCCCACTTTATGAGATCAATTATATTGGCACAGAGAGATAGCCTTAGATGGGTCTCTCAGGATCAATTAGAGAAGCATACTTCTAGAGAAGCTGGTAGAACAGGGCAGGAGGGCCAGTGAGGATCAAAGCTTCTATCCAAATGTTTTAGCCTAGCTGTGTGTGGCAGACGAATCCAGGAAAGCTCCCAGATCCCTGGAAGGGATTATTAAGAGAGGATCCATTAGATTAGAATGCTAGGTTGGGTGTTCATCTATCACCTTCTGAGTCAGATTTCCAGGGTTAAGTCTGTGGTAGGGCTGCAGAGAAATGCTCGCCTGGGAAAGCCTCTGATCAAGTGCAACATAGGTGACTCCCGCACAGGGAGAAGTCCTCTATTTGAGGAACATCATATGTGTTTGGATGTATCTGTGCTCTTCCTCAGCAGAGGACCATTGACTGAATGACTGTTTGACAATTACGCATAAAGAGCCCTATATTATTTTGAATTTAGTAAATATTGGAACAGAAACAAACAATATTATCTACTTTCAAATTGAATAACAGCATGAGCAACTTCCAGGTAAATGTCACAGGAGGAAACTCTGGGGCCTTGCTCATCACCAGAAACCTTGAAAATCCTGATGCAACCTGTAGGGTTAACCTTATCAACACTTAGTTTTTTACCATATAGATTTATCTTCATAAAAAATATTTTCTTTGGACCTTTATTTTGTTATATGCCATGAAGAATAAATCATTTATTTCCTTTGCGATAAGAACATCACATTTTTACACCTCAAGTATTAATGATGCCATCCCCCATGTAGTTTTTGTTGTGATGGCCTGAATGTTTATGTCCCTTTGCAAATTCCTATGTGGATAATTTTAGGCGTGTGGCCTTTGGGGAAGTGGTGAGGCCAAGAGTTCTTCATCTTCATGAATGGAATCAGTGCTCTTTCAAGGGAAGTTGAAGGCAATGCCCTTGTCCCGTGTGCAAGATGGTACCATCTATGGGGAACAGGGCTCTCAACATATACTAAATTTTCTGCTGCCTTGATCTTGCACTTTCCAGACTCCATAACTGTGAAAAATACATTTCTGTTGTTTATCCTTTACCCAGTCTGAGGTATTTTGTTATAGCAGCCTGGATGCACTATGACACTTTCTTAGGCACTTTGGTCTATTTCTGAATTTTTAGTTTCAGTGACATATGAGTTTTTAATCAATCAAGATTTTTCACAGAGCTTGCCAGTCTTGTTTTTTGCTTTTTTTTCAGAGTTTTCTTGTCTATTCTTATGTGTGTTTTCATCTATATAATATTTTATAGTAACGTGTACTTCCAATATTTAATGGTATCTGTATAGGAACAAAATTGAATTTATAAATAAACTTAAGGACAATTGATGTTGATAATATTGAGATTTGCTGCCTAAGAATATGATACAAATTGTCTATTTGCTTATGTCTACATTCATATATTTCATAAACTTTCTATGTTTTTCTCATATTCTGTACACATTTTTGTAATGTTTATTCCTAGTTTATTTTATTCTGCTAAAAAGTAATTTGAGACACAATGAAATTGCCAAGTGTCTATTTGAGTAAGAGCAATTGATAAATTATAAAATATCAGACCAAAAGTTATTTAGTGCTTCTCTGACAGAGTAAGAAGCAAGTATTTATTGAAAAAATGTAGAAACAAAAAAATCATTTGATTGGTGGTAGCACAACTTTTTTATTGTTTTTTGTTCGTCTGTTTATCTTGTTGGACAGTTTCTATTTATATAAGGATGTTGGCTACTCCTGATTGGTTGAGCTTCATTTCTCTTTTTTAAATAGGCAGCTACAAGAAATATTTAAGTTTTGCTTGTATTTGCAAATCAAGCAAGGTTGAGATCACTTATGAGACCTAACTAATTTCGTCTGCTCAGAGATTATTGAGACGTGATCTCCATTTTAATTTATTTTAACAAATTTTCTGTACTTTTAATTCCCATCCAAACTGTAACTTATAAATTATTATTGTTGTACATATATAGGCCCATGTTGTGTATGCTTTGAAGACATGTCCTGCTTTCAAACTCATTTGTATTATGTTATTATTGAATTTGCCCCATTTATTGGAATTATATACTGCAATCTCCCAACTACAAGAGGTATGAGTTCTGAGGAGATCACAGTAAAGATGAGTCAGAAGTGAAAACGGTTCTCCAACTCACACATGCAGTAAAAACAAATTTCACGTGGATATAATGAGTAATTATTTAAAATTTAAAATACCCTGAAAACATTAACGTTTATCTCATTACTATGTAATATGGAAATTACAAGACAAAAAAACCCAAAGACTTATTTTTAAAATAGAAATGGAGCTTTTTATATGATGAAATGGTCCATAATTTAAATGTAAAAAGTGAATAGGAAATACATGAAATAAAATAAAATTATTTGTAAAAGTGACAATGCCCGTATTAGATTTAACAATATCTTACAATGAAATAAGTTGAAACCTACAAAATAGAAGAAAGTTTAAAATTAGGCAAATATTATGAGCCAGGTGAAGAATAAATACATATATCAATAAGCATTTAATGTATTTTGTCTTAGATTTTATATGAAATAATAAAAAGTAAGCAAACCAATAGCAAGGTAATTTCACCCTGATTGATTCAAACTGAAAAAATATTAACATTTCTCCATTGGAAGTTGGATTCATGGATTGGCCTCATGCTGCATTCAAGGCACTTTAGCCAGGACCCAACACTCATTGCCAAGAGTCATCAGGCTAGAAGTTTGCTTTTAAGATGTTCCCCGGCCTGCGACCAAGACACTTTGTCTTGACTACTTCTTCAACTCTGACATAGGTTTTGCTGATATAAATGAAAACCCAGCTCTATACCTACCAAGCATCTACATGGCTAGAGCTGCACATTGAATATTTAGGCACTAGGCAAGAGGTCTTCCCAGGTTTCCAAGCAGACTTTCTAGAATTTCCCAAAAATACTGACATTGTCTTTTTCAGACCCAATCTCCCAAAGAGAATCAGAGAGATGGTCTGGAAGCCATTTAGAATCTCCAGCCTCCAATTTAGTAACAATGGACTTGGATACAAAGAGGCAACCTACTGACCTCAAAGACACCAGCCCAGATTCTGGGCATTGAATTCCTGCCTCCCCATGAAAGATCTCATCTGAGTCACATCAAAGCCCACACTCTTCTTCAACGTTCACCTTCCAGACACGCTCCAAAACAGCCCCTCAGAATTGTCTTGAGATGAAACAAAAGGTGATGAAGCTCCAGGTTTGGAATGCCTGCCTCATTCCTCACTCCTGAAAAGTCTACACCTGCTGGTTAGAACTCTCATACCTTAGGGAGCCCGGGCTCTCAGAGTGCATCCTCTAACAGGACCTCCTGGCCTTTTCCTCCTTGGAGGAGAGTGCCCAAGAATAAGAGGGAATACATGGCCTCCACTCTCACTTGACTTGATTGACTGATTAACTGATGTCTGAGGAGGAAACATATGTAGGGAACAGCCTGGGTCTTTTGAATCCCTGTTCCCCAGCTATGATGCCTGTGCAAATGGAGGGAGAATCCCAAAGTATTGTTGGGAGGTAGACAGACACTGGCTAACACAATTAAGTAAATATAAGGTGACTTGAAGGGAAATTTATCATATGTCATATACAAAATTTTAGTTAGTGAACTTTATTTAAAAACAGTCACAATTTGTAAGGGGAGTAAAGTATAATTTTAATGGGGAACTATGAAAATTATCTGCACTTGCTATGTAAATGATTGAGTTAGGGGTAACAATCTGAAGGTCATGAGCTTGATATCTGCTACTTAATTTCATAAGACATTTACTTGCAAATGGTTGTCATTTTTGCTCTCACCATATGAAAATTTTTTCTTGCTAAGAGCATTCCTATGAAAGAAAAACTAGAAATTTTGCCAATTTCGGTTATTAAAACAATAAAACTGGTTTGTTTGTTATTCTTAACCAAATGCTCCTACAGATGGCACATAGTACCCATGCTTTGATTGTTTTTTTCCCACCTTAAGTCAATTGCCTTTCATTTTATTCATCAAACTGTTTTTACTGTAGATAGACATTGCAGTTGTCATGTGCCCTATGGATTTGTACTTTATTAGAAATATGAATTCTCAGGCCGAGTATATTGGCTCACGCCTGTAATCCCAGCACTTTGCGAGGTGGAAGAGAGTGGATCACCTGAGGTCAGGAGTTCAAGAACAGCCTGACCAACATGGTAAAACCCCATCTCTCTACTATTTACAGTTCGCATTGTACCTTGCAATGAATATACATTTTATCCAAAAAGCCTAAAAAATAATGAAATTGGGGGTGGGGGCATGGCTGGAAGTATAGATAAAACAAAAATGACACATGACTAGCAGCTGTTAAAGCTGGGTGACTGGTCTGTTATACTTTTTTTGTATTGTGTATGTTTTTAGTGATCTGTAATAAAACACTTGTACAAAATGACAAAGTTTATCTACACTTAGCTCTTAAGGTCTTGGTTACCTTTGGGAAGGGGAAAGTGTCAGGGGCATGAACAAATCTGATTCTTAGATACACAAGTGTATTTATTTAGTAATAATTCATCAAACATTCCCTAAATGCTTTGTGCCTATATTGCTGTATGCATGTTATTTATCAATAAAAATGTAAAGAGTGCATGTTTG
This sequence comes from Homo sapiens, assembly GCF_000001405.40. Lineage (NCBI taxonomy): Eukaryota > Metazoa > Chordata > Mammalia > Primates > Hominidae > Homo > Homo sapiens. Next base: position 101,697 of record NT_113930.2, read on the forward strand.
CATAACAATCCTAAATTAATATTTTAGAATAATAGCAATGTTTTGTTTTGTTTTCAAGTGGGGCGTGTTCACTCAGGACATCATCAGGTGTATGTTAATGTTCCAAGTTATTTATTTATGTTTTAACTTTTGGGTGAGCCCCCCTGGGTCTTTTAATTTTTACTTCAACACAGTAAGTAGCATGGTTTTAACTTTTTGGAATGCAGCTTTGTTTTCATCAAGGTTCTCCCCGAAGAATGATGCTCACCCAGGCCAGGGCACACAGTGACCCGTGCACAGGATGCACTGAGCACACACGGCACTGGGTGAACCAGGAACAGAAGGAGAAGCCAGCCCGGGTCTGCAAAATATACTTTGCAGGAAAAGCAGATAAAATGGAAAGGTCACAATTCAGCAGCAAACGTTTTCACATTCATTGGAGAAATCATTTCTAACAAAAGCTGCTCGTTAAAGCCATGGTTTTCTGGCTTGCCTACACATTGTAATCACCTGCACGACTTTCAACCATATTTTTTTCAGATCCAGCTCCAAGGATTCTGATTTAGTTGTGCGGTTACAACTTGGGTTTAAGGGATTTTGAAAGTTTTCCTCCCCGCAGGTGATTCTCTTGCGCCAGGGGTAAGAAGCACTGGATAGGGGTGAGGGATGCTTTAGCTGTGAGAGATAGCCATGTACGCTTCAGGATTTGCCCCATCGCATATCTGGAGTTCGGGGTCTTAGAAAGCTTTCTTGCCCTGTTAAAAATTAAAGGATGGCTTCAATACATACTTAGCTGCTTGGCTACATTGCAGAAAAACAAATTGCCTTTCCAGAGATCAGTTTTTTGAGACAGAGTTTTGCTCTGTCAGCCAGGCTGGAGTGCAGTTGTGTGATCATGGTTCATTGCAGCCTTGACCTCCCAGGCTCAGGTGATCCTCCAGCTCCAGCCTTCTGAGTAGCTGGGACTGAAGTCATGCACCACCAGGCCTGGCTAATTTTTCAATTTTTTTTTTTTTTTTTTTTTTTTTTTTTTTTTTGTAGAGATGGCTTTCTCTATGCTGCCTGGGCTGGTCTCAAACTCCTGGTCTCAAGTGATCCTCCCACCTCAGTCTCCCTAATAGTTCGACCTACAGGCACAGGGAAGCATGCCCGGTGTATTTATTAAAATGTAGTTACCAGAATATTTAAAATTCACTTGTGCCTCTCATATTATTTCTTAAAGAATTGCCTCCCTTTTGAAATCTCAGGCTGCCTGCTCTAAAACCTGGATGTGCCAGGAAAGTAAAACATCTGAAATTTTAAAACAATTGTCATTATATTGATTCCATATATGAATAACACATATATATTATTCATTAATACAAATAATCTTACATACAAATGTAAATGCAAATATTTTACAGGCAGGGCCAGTTTCTAGTTCACAGAGGAAGCCCTGCTAGAAAAGGATCCAGGAAAAACCTATAATTCTTGCTTTATTCAACCCAGTGTCAAATCACATATGTCACTCATGGTCTGAGGCGGCAGGGTAGGGAATTGAACTACATCCAATCATGGGTCTTGGAGTGGAAACTATCTAATCAGGTGCACAGCTGGAGAAGAATGGGCAGCTTTTTGGAAGTACGGAGGCCTTGGCCTGTCTCTCCACTCAGAGCTCAGGACACTAGAGCCACCTCAACATAATCACCTGTTTTTTAGTTATTTTAACACTCCAAAAGGGAACTAGTTTTCTCATGCATTTTCCAAATGTGTGGCAGGCAGAGACTCAAATCTAACTCCCTGTTGCCCCAGCCTAACTCTGGCTTGCAATCAGATTTTAAATTTCCAGTTCTTTCCTGACACTCACCAACACTAACTAACCTTCCATAATTCACAACATTATCAACTGTTCTTTATTGTACATTTCAGACACAGTATTTCAATTCTTCTTTTTGTCAAAAAGCAGTGGATGTCATTTAAAAAAATTTTTTCTCATTTGTAAACATTTTACAGGAGATGAAAGCAGAGAATAATCCCCTGACACCCCACTGTAAAAAAAATAAATAAAAAGCGGAAAACCTTTGTGCCCCTTTGTTTAAACTTCTCTTGGCACAGACACCCCATCAGAAAGCCTTTGGGTTCAGGTTTCATTTTGGAAACTTCACAGGGCAATACATCCTCAGCCATCCTGTTATTTTCTTGGTTTTGAATTTCAAAACTGTTTGAGGATTCCCCAAGATGCCAACAGTGGCCATGACTCTTGAAGTGTCTAGTAAATAGCATCCCTTGTGTCATCTCCTCTCAGGGAACAGCCCAAGGTATGGGAATGCAGCCTCTCTGTGGAGTGGTTGTTTGAGCTGTGCCTGGAAGGAATCTCTAGGTATACCCTTGCGCTAAAAGCAAACCCATTAGGTCATTAAGATTTTCTTACCCCAAAGCTTAGTTTCCATTCCTTAGAGACACATTGCAGGCCAGGCAAATGGATGCTGATATTGAGGAAAAAATGTTCTCAGATTGGTGAAGGGAGAGAAAATATTTCAAAGGACAAAGAAACCCAACCTAGTGAGGCAGTGCAAAAACCTGCAAAGTAAAATGCACCTCAGGGACACAGAGGAGCACAGGGTAGCGGCTCCTGGTAGGATGGTCATGACCCACTTCACTGAACCAGATGTGAGTGGGGAAAATATCCCAAGTAATAGAATGGCTTGACTTGACCCTTGGGTCTGATATGTCTGTGTTTCAATCGGCACTGTCACCTTCTAATTTTGTCACCTTGAAAATGTTTTTGTACTTACTTTAACTTCACTTTTTAATTAACTGTAAACTATGTTTTATCAGTAGAGCTTGAAAGGCATGAAAATATTTATAAAGCACATTAAGTTGGTGAATTTTGAATAAAATTAAGTAGTAATATATTTCACTTGTTAAAAATTGTTACTTGCCTATTTCTTTAGCAGAATGAGTGTCGTACATTTCCCAGGACTGTTTTTTATTTGTCTGAGAGGTGATTTCAAGCAGAATCTCACGGCTTACTGTTGGGAATGTTACCAGGTGTATTGATAGGGATAGTCTCTCTTCCACTACGGTGGTAGGAAATGAATACATACCTACAAGCACGTGAGGTAGATTAATTGTTAAATTACATAAATTTATCACATCAGTTATTCTTTTTTCAAAACAGAGAACTTCTGATAGTGAGTATCTCTGTTCCATATGCTGTCATCTGGGTGTTTGAGGGTAACGCTAAGTTTTAGGAGCTGGGACTTGGCACCGCCTGGAAGTGTTCACATATGATTGTTTACTAAATGATTTGTTATGAACATAATTAAATTACATGTTTATTTTCTGAAAGGGATAGATACTTTGGCTTTTCTTGTTGAGTTATAAAATGTAAGCCCCTTATAACTTTCTTTTTTAATTTTAATTTTATTTTTTAGACTTAGTGTCACTCTTGTTGCCCAGTCTGGAGTGCAATGGCACGATATTGGCTCACTGTAACCTCCACCTCCCGGGTTCAAGCAATTCTCCTGCCTCGGCCTCCCAAGTAACTGGGATTACAGGAATACACGACCACCCCCGTTTAAGTTTGTATTTTTAGTAGAGACTGTGTTTCTTCATGTTAGTGAGGCTGGTCTCGAACTCCTGACCTCAGGTAATCTGCCCGCCTCAGCCTCCCAAAATGCAGGGATTACAGGCATGAGCCACCATGCCCGACCATAATTTCCTCTCTTTTAAACCTTAGATTTGAATGATTTTTGCTGGATTCTTCAAACATGAAGTATTTTTTAAATTGAAAACTAATTGAATGACTTTAACTGGTAAGTAGAAGTCTTAGACCGTTGACTAAAAGCTAAGGCTAACGTTGACCCTGCAAAAGGGGGCCACTGAAGGCCCAGTTGATTATTCCTGGGTGTCTGCCCTGCAGACATCAAAGTCTGCTCACACCAACCATAGAAGGAGCCTTTGTCACTGTCAGAAGATACAGAGCTTTGGTAAGCTGGAAGTTGACAGGCAGATGCAGTTGGGGTTGAGATTGAAGAAAAGTTGGGATATTCTTTCTAGAATGGAGTTGTTATTGTCCTGAGACTGTTTATAGACTTTGTCTAAGAAGTTACTTAAGAAGTGTTGTAACAAGGAAAAAGTACAAATGATTAGATCTTTGAGGATCTCAAAGGTTAGGTGGAAAAGGGTTTTATTTCATAGGGAGGAGAAAATAAGTTTACAAAGAAGGTTGGAAAGGAAGCACAGGATGGAGGGTAGCAAAATCAGATCCCAGATAAGATAATGTTTCATCTTGAAGTCAGCCTGTTCTTAGGAGGGATATGTATAAATATGGGTTGTAGGTTCTCTGAGGCTGTGGGTGAGTCAAAGTTCAGGGGCTGAGGGAAGAAGGGGAACAAGCAAAGTTTTGTTAACAAGTACTCTGTTTTGACCACTGAAGACTAAATTACAGAATGGTTGTTCATTTTTAAAAATAGGAATTTGTAATCTGTGTCCGTCTTTGTGATAGGTTAAAAAAAAGGGGGGGGGGGGGAACATCCACAAAGTCATAATGGGAAGCACGTTTCTCTTCACTAAGCTGTTCTTTGAGAACACAAAGAATGGGGGAATTTCTTTAAATATAGCTATTTCCAGGATTACCTTCACCCACAACTGTTCCTTTTCCTAGACATCTCTTTCATTTGTCAGTTTCTGAGTTGTATTTTTATAATAAAGTGGTAAATATAATTAGACTTATTTGTTGAGTTTTTTTGAGTAACTCTATCAAATTATTTAACTTGAAAAGGGGTTTATGGGAGTCTCAGATTTATAGGCAGTAGCTCAGAAGTATAGATGGGCTTATGGGACATGTGACTAACCTCTGCAGTGAGAGGGGTGATGTGGGACTTAGCCCTGAATTTGTGGGATCTGTGCGAACTCTAAGTTGTGTCAGAATTAAATTTTGGGGCAAGAAATGGGTGTTGGAGAAGCAGTGGGTTTTCAGGGAACTTTACACATTTAGGATCAAAAGTGTTGTAAGGAGAAAGACAATGTGGGGGCCTTTGCTGGAGAGAGACTCCAGGTGTCTCGGGGAAGGTAGGTTCTGCTCTGCACACAGGCTGCTACGCCATGCACTGCCCTGTGGTTCCAGGCATCCTCCCATGGTAAGAAGGACCGACGACTCTGAGGGAAGAAGTTCTGAGAACAGATGCCTTCTACCCTCCTGCCAACCTGAGGTCACCACATGTTTTTCACCCACTGAACATACACACTGCATGTTGACGTGGTCAAGCCCCTCTCAGGACAAGGCTTTGGCATCAAGATTGTTGCCCATCCTACCTTTCCTCATAGACTTTCCCACCAAAAACCCACACACGTGCCTACAAGACCCCTGGCATATGTTCTACTTCAGACACCGAATCTGCAGTGGCAACCTGGTTTTTTCACCATCGCAGATTTCTGTGCCACCTGATCATAATCTCGTCTTCCTGCATGAACATAGAAATAACTCAGAGAAAAGTTTCACCTGGGTCAGTGTCTGTAGCATGAACCAGTCCTCCCACCAACCCTGTACAGTCTCTCACTTCTGGTTTCTTAATAGCACCTTCCCCTCTTTTACCTTTTAGTTCACCTCAAACCCTTTCTTTTATGTGCACACAGTGTGCCCAAGGCCACCCCTCAGTTGCCTGAATCCAGCACCTACCAAAATTCAGATGTCCAGTAGTTCAAGACCATGGGCCTAGACTAAGTTTTTGCAGAAGGCAATACAAATTAGAAATGAGAGGCTCTATTCTCCCATTTGAAAATAAAAAAAAGATTTTTTTCTTTTCCTTTTTCTTAAACAATGTAATCTGGAAAACTTTAATTAGTAATTTTTTGAGGCAGAATCTTACTCTTTTACTTAGCCTGAAGTGCAACGGCATAATCATAGCTCACGGTAACCTTAACCTCTTGGGTTTGAGCAGTCCTCCTGCATCAACCGCTTAATTACCTAGGACTATAGGCATGAACCACCATGCCTGGCTAGCTTTATTTATTTTTGTTTTTATTTTTTTTCAAGACAGTGTCTTGCTCTGTGGGCTAGGCTGGAGTGTAGTGCCATGATCTTGTCTCAATGCAACCTCCACCTCCCAGGTTCAAGCAATTCTCCTGTCTCAGCCTTTTGAGTAGCTGGGATTACAGGCGCACACCACCATGTCTGGCTAATTTTTTGTTATTATTATTTTTAGTAGAGAATGGGTTTTACCATTTTGGCCAGGCTGGTCTCCACCCCCTGACCTCATTATCCACCTGCCTCAGACTCCCAAAGTGCTGGGATTACAGGTGTGAGCCAACATGCCCAGCCATATTTATTTTATTTTTTTGTAGTGACAGAATTTCACCATATTGCCTGTACTGGACTCAAACATTTGGCTTGAAGGTATCCTCATGCCTTGGCCTCCCCAAATGTTCAGATTACAGGCATGAACCACCATGAGTGGCCTGGAACACTTTTACATGTACCTTTTTTTCTCTGCTTCTTTGAAATATAAGCAAATCATTTTAACAGCTAAATAAGCCTTCTGTCATTCTTCATGACAGAGAATTGTCTTTATCTAAGACCTGGAAACTATTGCTTTGTTTTTTAATTTGGCAAAGATTTATTTATTTTTTATTTTCAGTCCTTTGAAGTAGGCACAGCGCAGTACAGTGGCTCATGTTTTTAATCCTAGTGCTTTGGGAGGCTGAGATGAGAGAATTGCTTGGGCCCAGGAGTTTGAGACCAGCCTGGGCAGCATAATGAGACACTTTCTTTATAACAAATTAAAATCAACTAGCAGGGCATGGTGGCACAGGAGGCTGAGGTGAGAGAATCATTTGAGCTCAAGAGTTTGAGGCTGCAATGAGCCATGATCACTCCAATCTACCACTGTATTCCAGCCTGGATGACAGAGGGAGACCCTGTCTCTAAATAAATAAGCAAATAAAAAAATGTGTTTTTCCATACATAAAAATAAGTTAATAAACAGATAAATAAAATAGACATGGATTTGCTTAGAATAAAGCTAATTATAAGATAACAGAAAAGTGAGCACCAAAGATGGGGTTCAACTTAGCAAGTGATTCCAGCCTATTAGGACACTCACAGAATTCTCCCTGCAGCACGACCAACATGAAAGTAGAATGTCATCATGTCAGGCTATACCAGCGTCGGAAGACTAAACACTGTGGGGAAGAACCTCCCTTATGGAATATTATCAACAGGTGAGAGACCAGCTCCTGCCCTGATGGGCTACAGAGATAAATTCTTGAGATAACACATTGCAGAAACATGCATAGAGTAGTTTAACCTTTTTTGTGTGTAACCCTTTCTCCATTTTCCTGCAAAATCCTCCCTAGAAATAGTGTTCGCTTTTAAGTTTTGAGGGTCTGGTAGGACTGAAGCTGCATGCTGCAGGAGATACCTGGGGTAGGAAACTAACACAAACTGCAGCTACAGGCACAAATACTCATGGCCTAATGTAAAGTGAAAACAATAGAAAGGTCTTTACTGTTATTCACCCAAGTGAGTGAACAGAGACTTTCCACATAACCAACTTGCCACTGAGACTAATGAAGGCCAGATTCCACTGGATCAAGACTATGAGTTACTCATGGGAAGATCATAGGACACAGCCCAGAGAGTTTTCATACTGGAGTCTGGGTACTGGGTCTGTCCCGGTCTTCTCGGGTTTCTGTCTGTAGAGACCCCTATGTGGCTGCTCTTACCACAGCCCGGTGCTGGCTGTGGTTGCTGGCTTAGTGCACCTGGTCTTTTTCCAAAAAGAGGGAGGAGTTGGCCACATCAAGAAGCTCCTCATCAATCTGAATGCAGCTCTGTAAAAAGTGCCTAGAAACCACGCAAAGAAAAGTCAGTGGTCTGCCTTGTTTTCACCGTATGTGACACCTCCACTAGAAATTCTGCTTTTCTCTGCACTCCAGCCTGGGTGACAGAGCGAGGCTTCCTCAAAAAGGGAAAAAGAAAAAGAAAAAGAGAGAAAGAAAGACAGAAGGAAGTAAGGAAGAAGAAAGAAAGAAAAAGAAAGAAAGAAAGAAAGAGAAAAAAAGAAGAAAGAAAGAAAGAAAGAAAGAGAAAGAAAGAAAGAAAGAAGAAAGAAAGAAAGAAGAAAGAAAGAAAGAAAGAAAGAAAGAAAGAAAGAAAGAAGAAAGAAAGAAAGAAAGAAAGAAAGAAAGAAAGAAAGAAAGAAAGAAAGAAAGAAAGAAAGAAAATAAAAGAGAAAAGAAAAGAAAAGAAATTCTGCTCTTCAGATTAGGCACATAAGGAGAATCTGTATGAATCTCCAGCAAGGAAGGAAACCAGAGGACAAGTTAAAGTCTTGGAATTCACATCTGAGTACACAGACTCGTTCTCCAACCCTCTTCTTTTTATTCTGCCAGCTATGGCCTAGGTATGAACATGACAGGTACACAAGGGTTCCAACACCTGACAATCTGCTTCAGTAAAAGAAGAGTGCCCTCCCTCTTGCTCCCCATACAACTCATGGTACTAAGAAATGGTGTGGGACTTCCCAGATGAGTTGACAAGAGAGGCCTGGCTCTGGGGCCTGTCCTGAGCTGCCCTGTGTTATTTGTAGGTGCACCCAGCCAATAGCCAGGGGCATCAATGATGAGGCCTGAGTTGACATCCGTGTTTTCAGATAAGGCTTTTACACTGAGCCTTTGTAAAGTCAAAACTCAGAAATTTCAGGGCACAATGAAAGAACATCTCACTCTCTTGAGCATCTCTCACTAACAGAGGTGGATACAGAGCTGTCTCAAGAATGTGGGTTCCTGGTTTCTTAACTGATGTTGGGTTGTCACCAAGAAAGTGTGTTAAACTCTTCAAGGTTCCATCTACTGGGTCCCTTCTTTCTGTAAGACCTACCCAAAAGCCCCACTATGCTACTAATTGTTCAGTCTCCTCTTCCATGTCAACTCTTCATTTGTACACAAGTATGCAAACACAACTTCCCCTTAATTCCTTGGAAAGAACTAAATGCAGCCTGGGTTCCAGGATATAAGAGACAGCTGGAACATAACCTTGTTTTTCTTACCATCTCTGGGACCCAATAAAAGTCACTGTGTATTTGAGGCTTCCCCAGCCTCCAAGCATACACAGTGGGGATGATGCTAACATCTACTTCCTAGGGATTGTATTAGATGTATATAAGATAAAACATAAAAATCATGTGGTGTTACCTGTAGATAATGCACACACTTAGAGATGGAAGCATTAGGAGAATATGTAGAAGGTAGCATGGGCCACAACTCAAACAAGCCTGGGTCTGGCAGGGTGATCTTGGGAATGTCACTTCTCCACTGCGCTTCATTTTCATTCTGCTCCAGTATGAAGTTGAAATTAAATGTAGATACTGTCCTCTGGCATTCATATAGTTTAGCTGTGTGTTCCACCCAAACTTCTCTGTGTATTATAACCCCCAGGTGTTAAGGGAGAAACCTGAGGGGAGATGATTGGATTATGGGGACGGGTTCTCCTCATGCTGTTCTTGTGATAGTGAGTTCTCATGAGATCTGATAGTTTCATAAGCATCTGGTACATCCCATGCTCTCACTCACTTCACTTGTCAGCCACTGTAATTGGAAGGTTTCTGAGGTGCCCTCCCAATTATGTGGAACTGTGAGTCAATTAAACTTCTTTTCTTTATCAATTACCCAGTCTCAAGTACTTCATCATTGCAGTATGACAAAGTCCTAATACAGCCATTCAACTTTCTAGTGCTTTCTCTTTATATTTAGAATCATATCCATGTGCCTTCTCACGTCTATGACAGGGAAACTCTTCACAAAATCTCACAGTACTAGGTGGTTAGTGACTCAGTTTTTTATTGAATAAAATGGCCTACAGCCTGATGACAGTAATATGGCCCTTGGGTTTTGAGGAAAATATCATGTTGTAGGTTGGCCAAAAAGGAGATAGCAGTCCAGCTGAAATTTGTTTTCTTATACTGGCTTTAAGGCAGTGATTAGAAAAGGCCTAAGAGGTGGGTTCTGTAAGGGATTGCTGGAAGGAAAGTAGGAATATGGAAAGTCATGAGACATATACTGTCATCTCTTCTTGCTTCCTCTCAAGTCACATGCAAATTCAGGGAGAGTTAGTATGAAACACACAATGGAAATTTGGGCTCTAACATATGCAATCTGATTCTTCATGGACTTCATTTGGCCATATCAGTTCCAACAATTTCAGCCAATGTTTAAAAATCTTATAAGCACATAAAATTTTAGTGTTTCAACAAGCCATTTCCTATCTTTCATTCTGAAAATCCATTTTAAGTCATTTTTTTAACAGCATAGGGGTACAAATTCAGCTTCTGTCCAATGAAATACAGAAAAGGATATCACTTTTGTATTAGTTCAGGCTGCTATGCCAAAGAACCATAGATAAGCAGCTTATAGACAACAGGACTTAATTTCTCATACTTCTATAGGTTCGAAATTTGAGATCAGGTTGTCAGCACGGTTGAGCTCTGGTGATGACTCGCTTCTGAATTTCAGACTGCAGACTTCAAGTTTTACCATCATTTTGCAGAAGGAGGAAGAGAGCCCTCTGCGGTTCCTTGTATAAAGCCAGTAATCTCTATTATGAAGGTCCCACCCTCAGGAGTTAAGTACATCTTTCATCCGTATAGCATTACAACGGGGGTTACAATTTTAACATAAATACAGGAGAAAAATTATTGGAACTCTCAAGATTTTTGTTTCCTTTTTTTTTTTTTTTGAGACAGTTTCACTCTTGTATCCCAGGCAGGAGTGCAGTGGTGTGATCTCGGCTTGCTGGAACCTTCGCCTCCCAGGTTCAAATGATTCCCCTGCGTCAGTCTCCCAAGTAGCTGGGATTACAGGCATGCACCACCACACCTTGCTCATTTTGTACTTTTAGAAGAGACGGTGGTTTCACCATATTGTCCAGGCTGCTTTCAAACCCCTGACCTCAGGTGATCCACCCGTCTCAGCATCCCAAAGTGTTGGGATTACAGGTGTGAGCCACCGCACCCTGTCAAGATTTTTCTAAAGCTCTCATTTTTCTCCTACTGGGTTTTTCCTGTTTGCGCCCTCAATCTTTCTCTGTCTCTTTTTGTGTACACCTTTTTGTCTAATTCTCTCTCTCTATTGTATACCTCAAACACAGGAAGCAAGCTTCAATGCTATGAGATGCTCCATGTAAAGACCAACATAACAGAGCCTGAGGGGGTGCTCAGACCAGTAGAGAGAAGGAAAGTCAGGCTCTCCAGCCACACTAAACCCTGCCAATTTTCACATGAGTCAGCTTAAAGGCTCATGCTTTCCCAGTCCAGCTTCAGTTAAGACCACAGTCCCAATGTCATAAAAGACCTAAAGGCAGAGGTACCCAACTGAACTGTGTCCAGATTCTGGTCCACATAAATTATGAGATATTATATGTTGTTGAAAAGTGCTGACTTTTAGGGCAATGTTGTCAGAAAGGAGCAGATATCTAACTTCATCTCCCAGGCCCTAGGATTCTCCATCCCTCTACTTATATCTTCCTCAGGCTGTTTGCAGCCAAACTTTCTAACCTCTGCCGAACTCACACCTATGAGTCTCTTCACTAAGGGTGGCTTCTCCCTGACACATACTTGTGCAGAGATGTCTCCCTGTTGTCATCCTTATCATGGATTAAACATCACCACAATGAGGCCTTAGTTCCTCCCATGCAATAATTTTCCAGCTTTTCTTCTCAACATTCCACTTTATATTATAGTCCTTCCTCTTTTCTTTCACATATACTTGCTTTAGTGCTTTTATCCAGCTGTCCTCAGAATGTTTGGTCCTGGGTTGGGGGGTGCAGGCATCATGTAATAATTTTCTGTACCACGTTGCACCCACCTGGTTAGCTGGCAAAGGGTGAGCGCAAGGGAAAAAAGACTGGCTAAGTGATTATATGGAGGATCTCTAATATCCCTTCCTCTTTTGACCACCTGATAATGTGGAGATCATTGATAACAACATGAGATGTGTGACTCTTACTTGTTCCAGCTGCTCCAGCAAAGCTCAGTGGGCACCAGAAACAGAGCTGGCTGTAACCACCTCCAGGCCATCACTAACTCTATGGCCCAATGCAGGAGCACTATGGAACAAATCAGGTATCTTGATTTTTCTGTCCTCAAGACACTGGTTCTTCAAGGTCCTAGGGGATAAAGTAGCAGAATCTGAAGGCCCCAAGTACAATGAGTGACCTTGGAATCCCCCTTTGCCTTCTATTTGCCTCTACCTTTTGGGTTGTGCTATTTATCCATGAGATATCCTCCCCTTATCCAGTGAAATTAGTTTCTACCACTTTCAAATGAGGACCTTAAGAACCCAACAGGAGCTGGGATTTTCCGTGGACTTCAGCCTCAGAGTCCAGTGCTCTGGAACATTTAGCTCCGTCTCATCTTCATCTACCCAAGATGCCTCTGAAGTGGCCATGCCTCCCTCTGATTTGAAGGACCTACAGAGAGTGGATGCATTTCTGCACAGTCTCAGAGCAAGAATCAGGGCTGGAAGACACTTATGAGTATGTGAAATCGTCGAGGTCACCCAGTTCAAACAGCCCTATTTATGAGGAAGAAAACAGGCTTTCCTGCAGGCATTCTCTACATTAGGCTGAGGTGGAGCATAGCTCATTTTACTTCCAGGTGCCCTCAGAGCTGGATGCAAAACCCCAGTCCTGTCATCTTGAAATTGACATGGAGAGGTCCCCATGTGAACAGAACCCTGGATCTGCTCATTCTCTGTGCCCCTGAATGTGAAGCTACAGGCTCTAACTTCCAAAGCAAACCTGATAGGTGGGATGGAGCCAAGGCCTAGGAAGCTGGAGCTCTCTCTAATGCTCTGGAGCCTGCCCACCTCCTGAGATCTGGATCAGTCCCTGCCTCTTTTGGGGCCTCATTTTCCCAATTGTAATGTAATGAGAAATTAAATGTAAAATTGCATAAGCATATGCTCTGTGAGAATTTGGTGTCAGAGTCCTCAATACTGGATGATATATTTTGGTGGGAGGGGTTTGGGCCCCAGAGGTTCTCGGGACTCCTGACATATCCATTGCAGTAGGTGTAGAGCTCAGGAGATCCAGATCTTCTTTCCTGAGCCAGCTGATTACAATACAATGGACCACGGGCTATGATCTTAAATATGATTTCACAGGATTCCCCACCTTCAGCCACCATCTGCTCTGTGCTTCCCTTATTTTGGGGAGCTGATGACAACCTCCATTATAGTGAGAGAGTCCAAGAAACTAGACTTGTGGACCTGGAGAAAAGAAAAAAACACTTTTCTATTTCTCTCAAACTGTAGAATCTGTTGTCAAATATTTAATTTTGATTCCATCTGAGCTTGATAATACGTTCATGTGTTAAGAGCTGCTTAAATTTATTTTTTCTGTGGTGTGGGATAATGTCTTTTCCCATATTTTAAATCAACTTCTAAAAGCTCTCTTTAAAGTGGAGATGTGAACATCTTTGTGATATAAACTGCACATATTTGTTGCGAGATTGTTCTTTTTCTCTTTGTTAAAATGTTTTGTTTTATTCTGGTTTGGATGTCCTTCAGGGTTTTGTTTTGTGGCTATTTATTACTACAATGCAACTTCTCCCCTAATTGACTGACAGGTTTGTACATTCTCAATAAAATATTTTGGTAAAGTCTTTGTAAAAACTGTGTAGACAATTTTACAGTTTTCATAAACATAAAACAGTCAAGACTGTCATGATGAAAAAGAAAGATTGAGGGCTTAAAAATTAAAATATGATACAGCTAAAGTAGTGTGCAAAGGGAAATTTATGGCACTAAATGCCCACAAGAGAAAGCAGAAAAGGTCTAAAATCGGCATCATAATATCACAATTAAAAATCTAGGGAAGCAAGAGCAAACAAATTCAAAAGCTAGCAGAAGACAAGAAATAATTAAGATCACAGCAGAACTGAAGGAGATAGACACACAAAAAGCCCGTCCAAAAAATCAACGAATCCAGGAGCTGTTTTTTTGAAAAGATCAAGAAATAAATAAACTGCTAGCCAGAGTAATAAGGAAGAAGAGAAGAATCAAATACATGCAATAGGAAATGATAAAGGGGATATAACCATTGATCCACAGAAATAAAAATTACCATTAGAGAATATTATAAAAAACTCTTTGCAAATTAACTAGAAAATCTAGACGAAATGGATAAATTCCTGGACACATATACCCTCCCAAGTCCAAACCAGTAAGAAGTCGAATGCCTGAATATGCCAATAACAAGTTCTAAAATTGAGGCAGTAACTAATAGCCTACCAACCAAAAGAAGTCCAGAACCAGAAGGATTCACAGCCGAATTCTACCAAAGGTACAAAGAGGAGCTGGTACCATTCCTTCTGAAACTATTTCAAACAATAGAAAAGAGGTACTCCTCCTTAACTCATTTTATGCATCCAGCATCATCCTGAAACCAAAACTTGGCAAAGACACACCAGAAAAAGAAAATTTCAGGCCCGTATCCCTGATGAATATCGATGCGAAAATCCTCAATAAAATACTGGCAAACCGAATCCAGCAGCACATCAAAAAGCTTATCCACCACGATCTAGTCAGCTTAATCCCTCGGATGCAAAGCTTGTTCAACATATGCAAATCAATAAATGTATTCCATCACATAAACAGAACTAATGACAAAAACCACATGATTATCTCAATAGATGCAAAAAAGGCCTTCAGCAAAATTCAACACCTCTTCATGGTAAAAACTCTCAATGAATTATGTATTGATGGAACTTATCTCAACATATTAAGAGCTATTTATGACAAACGCACAGCCAATATACTGAATGGGAAAAAACTTGAAACATTCCTTTTGAAAATCTGCACAAAACAAGAATACCCTCTCTCATCACTCCTATTCAATATAGTATTGGAAGTTCTGGCCAGGGCAATCAGTCAAGAGAAAGAAACAAAGCGTAATCAAATAGGAAGAGGAACTCAAGTTGTCTCTGTTTGCAGCTGACATGATTGTATATTTAGAAAACCCCATCGTCTCAGCCCAAAATCTCCTTAAACCAATATGCAACTTCAAAAAAGTCTCAGTATACAAAATCAGTGTTCAAAAATCACAAGAATTCCTATACACAATAATAGACAAACAGAGAGCCAAATCATGCATGAACTCTCATTCACAATTGTTACAAAGAGAATAAAATACCTAGGAATCCAACTTAAAAGGGATGGGAAGGACTTCTTCAAGGAGATCTACAAACCACTGCTCAAGGAAATAAGAGAGGACACAAACAAATGAAAAACAATCCGTGCTCATGGATAGGAAGAATCAATATTGTGAAAATGGCCATACTGCCCAAAGTAATTTATAAATTCAGTGTTATCCCCATCAAGCTCCCATTGACTTTCTTTACATAATTAGAAAAAAAAACTACTTTAAATTTCATATGGAATCAAAAAAGATCCTGCATAGACAAGACAATCCTAAGCAAAAAGAACAAAAGTGGAGGCATCACACTAGCTATCTTCAAACTATACTAAAAGGCCACAGTAACCAAGACAGTATGGTACTGGTACCAAAACAGATATATTGACAAATGGAACAGAACAGAGGCCCCAGAAATAACATCAAACATCTACAACCATCTGATCTTTGATGAACCTGACAAAAACAAGTAATGGGGAAAGGATTCCTTATTTAATAAATGGTGTTGGGAAAACTAGATAGCCATATGCAAAAAAATGAAACTGGACGTCTTCCTTACTAGTTATACAAAAATTAACTGAAGATGGATTAAAGACTTAAATGTAAGACTTAAAACCATAAAAACCCCCCAAAAAACAAAGGCATTACCATTCAGGACATAGGCGTGGGCAAAGACTTCATGACTAAAACAGCAAAAACAATGGCAACAAAAGCCAAAATTGACAAACGAGATGTAATTAAAGTAAAGAGCTTCTTCACAACAAAAGAAACTATCATCAGAGTGAACAGGCAACCCACAGAAAGGAGAAAATTTATGCAATCTATCCATCTGACAATGGGCTAATATGCAGAATCTACAAAAAACTTAAGCAAATTTACAAGAAAAAAACAAACAACCATATCAAAAATGGGCAAAGGACATGAACAGACACTTCTGAAAAGAAGACATTTATGCAGCCAACAAACATATGAAAAAAAAACTCATCATCACTGGTCATTAGATAAATGCAAATCAAAAACACAGTGAGAAACCATCTCACTCCAGTTAGAATGGTGATCATTGGAAAAATCAGGAAACAACAGATGCTGGAGAGGATGTGGAGAAATAGGAACACTTTTACACTGTTGGTGAGAGTGTAAATTAGTTCAACCATTGTGGAAGACAGTATGGCAATTCCTCAAGGATCTACAATGAGAAATACCATTTGATCCAGCAATCCCATTACTGGGTATATAACCAAATGATTATAAATTATTCTACTACTTAGACACATGCAAACATATGTTTATTATGGCACTGTGCACAAGAGCAAAAACTTTGAACCAAACCAAATGCCCATCAGTGGTAGAATGAATAAAGAAAATGTGGCATGTATACATCATGGAATACAATGCAGTCATAAAAAGGATGAGTTCATGTCCTTTGCAGGGACATGGATGAAGCTGGAAACCACCATTCTCAGCAAACTAACACAAGAGTAGAAAAGCAAACATCACATGTTCTCTCTCATAGTTGGGAGTTAAACAAAGAGAACACAGGGACACAGGAAGGGGAACACCACACACTGGAGCCTGTCAGGAAGTGGGGGACTATGGGAGGGATAGCATTAGAAGATATATTCCTGGCCTAGGCCACTATTGCGATTTTCTAAATTTTGTTTCAAAAACATGATGTTTCAAAAATTGTTATTGATATGTAATTATACAAATATATAGTTCAGAAAAAAGAATCAACATTAATTATGCTTTTTCCAAAATACTTTATGGTTTTGAGCTCTTCTAGCAGTGACATTTTTGCTGTAGGTAGTTGCTCTATATCTGGTATATTCATCATAGCATCCTTTGTACCCTTTACACTTATCCTTCAATTTCCCACTCTCCTTAAGTGTAAATTTTCAAGGCCAGAGCTCCCATATCTTCCCAATATTACTTTTTGAAAAGAAGCTCCTATGTACTGTTTTGTCTAGGTCTTGTTGGATATAATGCTAAAAGCTGGAAAATAATAATTTTTTAAAAAATTCGGTGATGAAATTAAGGTAAATATATTTTATAAATCTAATGAACAAAATGAGGCCAGCTGAGAACACAATGATAGTTGAAGAAGAACCTGAGATCCTGTTTCTCTCAATGGATGTATGAACTTAACTGCAATTGGGTGAGCAAAGCCAGTTGAGTTTGTAGCACCCCTCATGAGAAAAAAGCCAACCATAACCACATTTAGAAGAAAGAAAATTTGGTTACATTTCTGCACTACAGAACAGTGCAGTTAGATAAAATTCTGTCCATTCCATGATTCTCCCTCGGGAAAGAAAACAGAGTGAAACGTGTATGCAAACTTCTGACTTATTGATTTATACCTTTAACATTTAGTGTTGACCAGAATAGAGATAGAGTTTAAATGACAGCTTGGGTCGACTGAGAATAAAGATAAATATTTCTTACAACAAAGAGACTGTAGTGCCTGCAACAGTGACAAAGAGAAGAGACTAAAGGCTCCTAAGAGGAAAGAGAGGTAAACCTTATTAACAAGAAAATACATACAGTACAAAGAAGACACATTTTGACAACAGATTGGAGAAGCTCCCGGAATGACTAGTGTGGCTGAATATTGTCAATTTTCCCATGTACAAAGCTTTTTCATAAAGGATAAAATAGGTAGTGGTTTCTTAATTGACCAAAACCTTAACAAAACCACAGTACTTAAAAGCAACCAGGAAATATAGCCTAATGAAACGAGAAAAATATATATTCAAGTGACCCTAAAGAAGTGGAGATCTATGAATTATTTTTTAACTTAAAATCATTTTATTTTTCTTTATTTTTTCATTTTATACACAGGATCTTACTCTATCTCCTGGGACAGATGGCAGTGGTGCAATCACAGCTCACTGTAACCTCAAATTTCTGAAGTAAAGCAGTCATGCCTCCTATGTCTCCTGAGTAAATATGACCACAGTTGGGCACACTACCACACCTGTATAGTTTCTTTAAAAGAATCTGTACAAACAGAATGTTGTTATGTTGCCTCGGCTGGTCTCAAACTCCTGGTCTCAGGCAATCCTACTGCCTCAGTCTGAAAGTGCTGGCATGAGCCACCATACCTGGAATTGTTTCTCTTTTAAGAAAAAAGGACTTTAAATCATTAATAGTAAAATAAAACAAAGAAAGGCATTGCATAACGATAGAGAGTTCAATTCAACAAGAAGACTTAACTATCCTAAATATAGATGCACCCAACTTTGGGGAACATAGAGTTATACAACAAGTACTGCTAGACCTACAATAAGACTCAAGTAGCCACGCAATAATAGTAGGGAAACGCAACTCCCCAATAACAGTGTTTGTCAGATTATCTAGGCAGAAACTTAACAAAGAAATTCTGGAGTTTGATTTCGCACTTGATCAATTGAAACTAATAGACATTTATAGTATACACCACACATCATCTAAGGAACATAAATTCTTCTCATCGCTCACAGAATATACTCTAGGATTGACCACTTCCTAGCCATAAAGCAATTATCCATACATTTTTTAAAAATGAAAATTATGCCAACCATACTGTCAGGCCACAATGGAAAAAAGATAAATATCAATACCAACAAAATCTCACAAAATCACAGAATGGCATTGAAATTAAACAACTTGCTCCTGAATGAATTTTGGGTAAACAACAAAATTGAGGCAGAAACTTAAAAAAAATTTGAAATAAATGAAGAGACACAATATACTAAAATGTCTGGGTTGTAGGAAAAGCTCTGTTAAGAGGAAAGTTGAGAGTGCTAAATACCTGCATCAAGAAGTTAGAATGATCTCAAACTAACAATTTAACATCACACTTAGAGAAACTAGAAAAACAAAAACAAACTAACCCCAAAGCTGGCAGAATGGCAAAAATATTCACAACCTATAAACCTGACAAAATCTAATACTCAGAATCTATAAGAAACTTAAAGAATTCACAAGCAAAAAATTACCCCATGAAAAAGTGGGCAATAACAGACAATGTTCAAAAGAATACATACAAGTGGCCAAACAACATGAAAAAAGCTTATCACTAACCATCAAGGAAATGTAAATAAAAACCACAGTAAGACACCATCGTACACCAGTTAGAATGGCTTTTGTTAAAAAGTAAAATGATAGTAGATATTGGTGGGGTTTTAGAGGGAAAAAACCACTTATACACTGTTTATAGGAATATAAATTAGTTCAGCCACTGTGGAGAGCAGCTTGGAGATTTTCCAAATAACTGAGAGTTGAACTATGATTCAACGCAGAATTTCACCGCTGGGTGTATACCCAGAAGAGAATAAACTATTCTACCAAAACAGCACATGCACTTGTTGGTTCATCACTGCATTATTTATAACAGGAAAGACATGAATCAACCTACGTGACTATTAATGGTATTTTTTTTTTTTTGAGATGAAGTCTCACTCTGTTGCCCAGGCTGGAGTGCAGTGGCACTATCTCAGCTCACTACAACCTCCACCTCCCAGGTTCAAGCAATTCTCCTGCCTCAGCCACCCGAGTAGCTGGGACTACAGGCTCATGACAACACGTCCGGCTAACTTTTGTATTTTCAGTAGAGACGGGGGTTTCATTATGCTGTCCAGGATGGTCTCGATCTCCTGACCTCATGATCCACTCACCTTGGCCTCCCACAGTGCTGGGATTACAGGCATCAGCCACCGTGTCCAGCCTATTAATGCTAAATTGAATTTAAAAAGTGTCACATGTACAGCAATACTACTTAGCAAAAACAACAACAACAACAAAAAAACTTGTCCTTTGCAGCAACATTAATACAACTAAAGGTCATTCTACAATCAAATTAATGCAGAAATGGAAAACAAAAATACTGATGTTCTCACTTATAAATGGAAATTAACACTGGGTACACATGGACATAAAAATAAAAATAAAAGACAACTCTTAGAGGGTGGAGAGAGGGAGGGATCAAGAACTGAAAAACTGTCTATTTAGTACTATGCTCACTGCATAAGTGATGGAATTACTTATATTTCAAACCTCAGCACTATACAAAATACCCATGTAAAAAACCTGTGTAGGTACCTCCTAAATCTAAAACAAATTTGAAATTCTAAAAGGCGGTCTTACTCTCTCACCCAGACAGGAATACAATATCATGGTTATAACTCAATGCAGCGTCAAATTCCTGGGAACTCAAGGAATAATCTTACATCAGCCTCCAACTTCCGAGACTACAGGAACATTCCACCATTCATGATTAATCTGTAAAAATATTTTTTACATATAGCTTCTCACAATATTGCCCAGGGTGGTCTCAAACTCCTAGCCTTAAGTAATTGATATGGTTTGGCTCTCTGTCCCCAACCAAATCTCATCTTGAATTGTAATAATCTCCACATGTCCTGGGAGGGACCCTGTGGGAGGTAATTGAATCATGGGGGTGGGATTTTCCCATGCTGTTCTCATGATAGCAAAAAAGTCTCACGTGATCTGATGGTTTTATAAGTGGAGGTTCCCCTGAACAAAGTCTCTTGCTTGCTCCAATAATTGTGAGACCTCCCCAGCCATGTGAAACTGTGAGGCCATTAACCTTTTTCATTATGAATTATCCAGTCTTGGTTATGTCTTTATTAACAGCATGAGAATTTATTAATACAGTAATCCCCTTGCCTTAGCTTTCAAAGTAGCTGGAATTAGACACACATATCATTGTGCCTGGCTAAAACACCTAGCTTAAAGATGCTCATTCAGCTAAAGAAGAACATAGAAAGCTAAACAGAAAAAGAAAACAATTCATGAAGATAATGAGATTATCAATGAAGTGATTAAAAGTACAAAATAGAAACATAAAGTGTGGAGCTGAAAAATAAAATACCTGAATTTAGAGATTCACTAGAAGGTCCAACAACTGGTTTGATCTAGCAGGAAAAAATCCAGCAAGCTTCATAAGAAGTCTTTTGAAATTATATGGTGAGGAGGGTAAAAATAATTTTAAAAATTAAGAGAGCCTAAGGGACTTATGGGATACCATTAAGATGGCCAATATACTTCTAATGGGAATTCTAAAATAAAAAGAGAGAAAAGAGAGCAGCAAAGTTATTTCAAGAAACAAACAGTGGCTGAGAACTCTCAAAATTTGAAGGAGAAAATGGCCTAAAATTTAATGAAACTTTACCAACTAGTAGCAACACAGGGAGACCCATGACAAGACACATTTTAATCAGAGATTCAAATGTTAAAACACCGAGAATCTTGAAGTCAGCAAGAAAAAATGACTTAGCATGTACAATGTTACCCCTATAGGATGACCAGCAGATGTCTCAGCCAATAGCATGCAGGCAAGAGGTTGTAGGATGACATACTCAAAGTGCTGAAAAAAATGGCAAGTACCAACCAAGAACACTATGTCTGCCAAAGCTATCATTTCAAATGAATTAAAAAATAAAAATAAAGAATATTCAAGATCAACAAAAACTGTATTAATTTATGCACAGTAGGCCTGTATAAAAAAATGCTAGTCATTGACATTAAAAAATAAAATAATGATGAGAGCAACACAGAATTATGTAAAATATAAAGTTTTCTAACAGATAATTATGTACACAATTATAATATTCTTTGTTATTATAATGAAGATGCACAGAATACTTTTAATTCTGCTATGTAGTTGAGATAACAAAGACTTAAAAATGACTATATAACTGTGCCAATAGATTCACAATACAAAATGATGTAATTCGCGACATCAATAAAACACATAGGCAGCCATAAAGAGGCAGGGTTTTATATGCTATAGTAGTTATTTTTGGTAATATCTATAGTAACAACAAAGAAAATACCTATAGTACTTAGGATTTTGAGACTAGTCTGGGCAACATGGCAAAACCCTGTCTCTATGAAAAATAACAAAAATTAGCCAGGAGTACTGGTGCACATCTGTGGTCCCAGGTACTCAGAAGGCTGTGGTGGGAGGATTGTTTGAGTTGAGCCTGAGAGGCAGAGCTTGCAATAAGCAGAGATTGTGCCACTGCCCTCCAGCCTGGGTGACAGAGCAAAACCCTGTCAAAAAAAAAAAAAAAAAGGAAATACCTATAGTACACACACACAAAGACATACACACAGAGAGAGTAGTGAGAAAAGAATTAAAACATGTCACTATAAAGATCAATAATACGCTAAGAAAGAGAACAAGAGAGAAAAACAGGAAATAATAGCTACAGGACCGGCCAGGAGCGGTGGCTCACGCCTGTAATCCTAGCAATTTGGGAGGCCGAGGTGGGTGGATCAACGAGGTCAGGAGATTGAGACCATCCTGGCTAACACAGTGAAACCCTGTCTCTACTAAAAAAAATAAACAAATAAAAATAAAAATAGCCGGGCATGGTGGCGGGTGCCTGAATTCCCAGCTGCTGGGGAATCTGAGGCAGGAGTATGGCGTGAATCCGGGAGGCGGAGCTTGCAGGGAGCCAAGATTGCACCACTGCACTCCAGCCTGGGCAACAGAGCAAAACTCCGTCTCAACAGAAAAAGCTACAGGACCTAAAACAAAAAAGAAACAAAATTCAATAGAAAGTCATAGGAAATTATTCCCTTTTAGTAATGATTTTATATATATATAAATTATGTCAATCAAAAACATACTTTCACTAAATAAATTCATGAAACAAGATTCAACTCTCTGCTTCCTACAAATGACCACATTATGATCTGGAACACGCATAAGCCATACATGAAAGAATAAAAAAAATTAAATGCAAAATCAAATACTGTCATGGTAGACAAAATATATATTATATCAAAAACTTCCTCAAGAGAGAAGAAGAAAAGGACAATAAAAACAACAACAATAAAAGCAACAAAAAACAACATACATCAATAAAAGCAACAATAAAACAACATGCAACAATAAAAGCAACAGTAATGTATGTGCCTTACATCACAGTTCCCAAAATATGAAGCAACATTTTACAGAATTGAAACATGAAGTAGCCAGCACATAACAGTAGATGACTTTTTTATCATACTTTTAGTAATGTAAATTAAAAAACAAACATAAGATGAATAAGTAAACAGAGGATTTCAACAACACAATAGAACAATTAGACCTAACAGTCACATTTATATCTCTCCACTCAACAGTAGAATATGCAATACTTTTAATCACACATGCCACAATATTCCAGATAGACCACCTGTTAAGTTAAAAAACACATCTTAGCAAATTTCAGCAGATGGAATTACACAAATTATTCCTAACTATGATACAATAAAACAAGAAGTTAAAAACACTAGCATGTCAAAGAATAAGTAAAAATTAAACAACAAATTCTCAAACACACTCTTGTTCAAGAGGTTATAGACTTAATATTGTTAAAATGTCACTACTACCAAAAGTGGTCTACGGATTCAATGTTCTTTCTTTTCTTTTCTTTCTTTGTATTTTGAGACGGAGTTTTGCTCTTGTTGCCCAAGGTGGAGTGCAATGGTGTGATCTCAGTTCACTGCAGCCTCCACCTCCTGGGTTCAAGCTGTTCTCCTGCCTCAGCCTCCTGAGTAGTTGGGAATACAGGCATGTGCCACCACACCTGGCTAATTTTGTATTTTTAGTAGAGATGGGGTTTCTCCATGGCTGGTCTGGAACTCCTGACCTCAGGTGTTCCACCTTCCTCAGCCTCCCAAAGTGCTGGGATTACAGGCATGAGCCACAACCCTCAGCTGATTCAATATACTTTCTATCAAAATACCAATGAAACTTTTTGCAGAAGTTTTAAAATATTCTACAATTTTTATGGAATTTCAAGTGATCACAAACAGCCAAACAATATTGGGAAAAAAATATAAAGACAGAGGCATCATACTTTCTATTTTCTAAACATACTATGAACATATAGTAATCAAAACAGTTTGGTACTGACATAAAGACAAATGAATGATGAAACAGATGAGAGAGTCCAGACATAAGTCCTCATGGGTATAGTAAACATATTTTTAAAATGTGTTCCAAGAATCACAAAAAGGAAAGAACAGTCTCTTCAACAAACAGTATTGGGAATAATAAAAATTTACAAGGAAAAACTAACAAAGTTAGACTTTAACTTGCAACAGATAAAAACATAAACTCAAGGCTGGGTGTGGTGGCTCACACCTGTAATCCCAGCACTTTGGGTGACTGAGACAAGTGAATCACAAGGTCAGGATATCAAGACCATCCTGGCCAACATGGGGAAACAACGTCTCTACTAAAAATACAAACAAAAATTAGTTGGCGGTGGTGGCACATGCCTGCAGTTCCAGACACTCAGGCGGCTGATGCAGGAGAATCTCTGGAATCCGGGAGGCAAGAGTTTCAGTGAGCTGAGATCATGTCACTGCGCTCCAGCCTGGTGACAGAGAAAGGCTCCACCACAAATAAAGAAATAAACTCAAAATAACTAATTTTTGGTAGCTATTAAAACGGAATTTAAAATTTTATTTTTCAGATAGTTCGCTATCATCATACAGAAAGCTACTACTGTGTTAATTTTCTGCAATGTTACAGAATTTGTTTAGTAGTTCTAATAGTTTTTGGTGTAGTGTTTAGAGTTTTTCACATATAAGATTATTTTGTCCACAATCAGAGACCATTTGACATCATCCTTTCAATTAGTATGACTTTTATTTCTTCCTCTTGCCTAATTTCCTTGGCTAGGACTTCCAGTACTATGTTGAATAAGAGGGCTGAAAGTTTGGACGATTTGTCTTGTTCCAGATCTCAGAGAGAAAGCTTTCAACTTTTCCTTATTCAGTATAAAGTTAGCATTGCTTTTTCATAAATGGCCTTTATTGAGTTAAGGCACATACCTTCTATTCCTAACTTGTTGAGAGTTTTCATCATAATCAAGGCTGAATTTCATCCAATTCTTCTTCTGCATATGCAAAAGCTACAAAAATGAAAATACTTAATGTGATGGCTAATACAGGGTGTCAAATTGATTGGATTGGAGGATAGAAAGCATTGATCCTGGGTGTGTCTGTGAGGGTGTTGCCAAAGGACATTAACATTTGAGTCAGTGGGCTGGGAAAGGGAGATCCACTCTTAATTGGGTGAGCACCATCTAATGAGCTGACAGTGAATATAAAGCAGGCAGAAAAACGTGAAAAAGAGAGACTGGCCTAAGCTCCCAGACTACATCTTTCTCCTGTGCTGGACACTTGCAGCCCTCAAACATCAGACTCCAAGTTCTTCAGCTTTGGGACATGGACCACCTCTCCTTGCTCCTCAAACTTGCAGACAACCTATTGTGGGATCTCATGATCTCTCTAGGGAAGCCCAACTAATACACCTAGCAACAAACTTAACTAAAAAGGTAAAAGATCTCTACTCTGAAAACGACAAAACATGGATAAAAAATATAAAATACAAATGAATAAATAAAAAATATTGTGTTTATACACTGGAAGAATACTGTTGATATAGCTACCCAAAGTGATCTACAGACTTAATGTGATTTTTATCAAAATACCAATGACATTTTTTGACAGAAATAAAAAAATTTAAATTTATATGGATCCACAAAAAACTCTGAATAGACAAAGCAACTTTGAGCAAAATAAGCAAAGCTAAAGGCATCACTTCATCAAACTTCAAAACTTGCTATAAAGCTACAGTAACCAAAACAGCACTGTACTGGCATAAAAACAAACACATAGACTAATGTGCCCAATAAGCCCAGAAGTTAATTTATGCACCTAAAGCCAACTGATTGTCAACAAAATTACCAAGAACACACTTTAGAGAAAAACTAATCTCTTTAATAAATGGTGCAGGGCCATTTAAATATTTATATGCAGAAAAATAATACTAGACCCTTGTACCTTGCCATATATGATAATCAACTAAAACTAAAGACTTAAATGTAATGCCATCAATTATGAAACTATTAGAGAAAAACATAAAAAAATGCTTTATAACATTGGACGGTGAAAGGATTATTAAAATAAGATTTCAAAACATGGGCAACAAAATCGAGAATAAACAAACAACATTATGTCAAACTAAAATGCTTTTTCATATTAAAAAAACAACTAAAAGTTTGAAGAGACAGCTTAGGCGATGACAGAAAATGTTCTCATATACATGTGACAAAAGGCTAATATTCAGAATATATAAGAAACTTTAAAATCTCAAAATAAAATACACTTATAATCTAATTTAAAAAATGCAAAAGATCTTAATAGATGTTTGTCAAAAAGAGATACAAAAATGGCTAACTGGAACATAAAAAGATGCTCTACATTACTAATCACCAAGGAAATGCAAATCCAAACTGCAATGAAGTACCACCTCATTCCCATTAGAATGGCTATAATAAAAATAAATAAATAAATAAATCAAGAACTAATGAGGATATAAAAAAGAGTGGATGTATACCTTGTTGGTGGAATTGTAAATTAGTATGGCCATTATAGAAAATAGTATGGAGGTTTCTGAAAGAAATTAAAAATATATCTATTATATGATCCAGCAATTTTACTTCTGGGTGTATATCCAAAAGAAAGGATATTACTGTGTCAAAAAGATATTTGCATTCCCATGTTCATTACAGAACTATTTATAATAGCTTATATATGGAATCAATTCAAATGTACAGCAACAGATAAATGGATAAGGAAAATGTACTATATATACACAGCGAAATACTATTCAGCCATAAGAAAGCATAAAATTCTGTCAGTTAAAAGAGCATGGATGAACCTTGAGCATACCATGTTAAGTAAAATAAGCCACATAGAGAAACACAAATACTTTATGATCTTATTATCTCACTCATTTGAGGAACCTGAAAAAAAGGGTTGATAGAAGCAAAGAGTACAACAGGGGTTACCAGAGACTGAAGCAGGAGGATGGGAAAAGGCTGCTTCACAGGTATTGTGTTATGATTAGATAGGGGAAATAAGTTTTTGTTTTTTATTACACAGTAGAATAATAATAATTAATGAAAAGTTATCTCATATTACAAAATAGCTAAAAGAGACCAGTTTCGGTGGCATATTCTTGCAATCCATACATTTTGGGAGATTGAGGTAGGAGAATCACTTGACGTCAGAAGTTCAAGATGAGCCTGGACAACATAGTGTGACCCCGTCTGTATGAAAAATTAAAACATTAGCCAGGCATGGTGGCAGCTTCCTGTAGTCTCAGCTAATTGGGAAGCTGAGGTTAGAAGACTGTTTGAAGTTACAGTGAGCTAGGATTGCACCACTGCACACCAGTCTGGGTGTTAGAGCAAGATCCTGTCTCTAAAAAAAATTAATACATAAAGATAAAATAAAATAGCTAGAGAAGGAGCTTTTGAATATTCTCACCACAAAAATAACAAATGCATGAGGCAA
Source organism: Homo sapiens (assembly GCF_000001405.40). Taxonomy (NCBI): domain Eukaryota; kingdom Metazoa; phylum Chordata; class Mammalia; order Primates; family Hominidae; genus Homo; species Homo sapiens. Next base: position 129,217 of record NT_113930.2, read on the forward strand.
CAAATATAGAAGTACTGATTTTTATTGTTATACAAAACATATATATAATTGTTTCCCCAAAATATGCACAATTACATGTGTCAATTTTAAAAAATGAATGAAGACTATAATGTAAAACCTATAACTGTAAAATTCCTAGCACAATACAGAAGGGTGAAGCTTCATTACAACTGGTCGTGGCAATAATTTGGGGGACGTAGCATCAACGGATGAGACAACAAAAGCAAGGGAATACACATGGTACTGAATCAGTGTATGAAAAATATCCCAAACAGACAAAGCAGAACATGGAATAGATATATGCACATTGTAGTATTACTCACAAACATGTTACCTGGAAGCAAATGTACCCTTAAGGATGAGTAGATTCAGCAAACAAGGCACGTACAATCACTGGGATAGCATTCAGCCTTAAAAATAAGGAAATCTTGAAAAGTACTACAATAAGGACAAATCTTCAAAACATTCTGTTAAGTAAAATAAGACAGTCAAAAAGGAAAGCTGTATAATTACACTCATGTAAAACATTTAGTCAAACTCAAAGAAACCAAGTGTCGTAGTCTCAGCAGTGCACCAAGATGTAACAGTCTCTCGTAGTCTGAGATAACATCCAGAGTTCTTTGTTCTACCTCTAAGGAGATTAAGGAGCGTGAACACAAAGGTGAGGTTGGAGTGAAAGTTTAAGAAGCAAGAGAAGAAAGCTCTTTGCCAGCAGAGATAGGTGTCTGAAAGTGGTGCCCTCTACGAGGCTGGGTCCAGGGTTTTTATGGACTGGGAAGGGAAGGATACGTGCCTAGTTCACAGGCTGTCTTGAAAAACGTGTGGCTCAGCTTGGCCCAGGCCTTTGGCCCGGGATCAATCAGGAGCTGAAGGGATGATTGATAGATGCTGCTTAGCTTGGCCCAAGACTTATCAGAAGCTAAGGTGAAAGTTTGGCCAAGGAGCTTGGCCCGGGAGCACTCAGGGGCTGAAGTAATTATTCATAGAGGTCAGACTTACAGTCCAAATAAACGAGAGTGTCGACCGGAATGCACCAGATCCCACAGTGCCCATGCCAACAAAAAGAGAAGGAACATTTTCCTGGGAGCCCACTGACTGTACAAAGACAAAAGTGCTTCTTTTTTTTCTTTTTCTTGTCTTTCTTTTTTTTGAGATGTACTTTCTTTTTTTATTTTTTTTTATTTTTTTTTTGCAGTTTTGCTCTTGTTGCCCAGCCTGGAGTGCAATGGTGCGATCTCGGCTCACAGCAACCTCCGCCTCCTGGGTTCTAGCGATTCTCCTGCCTCAGCCTCCCAAGTAGCTGGGATTATAGGCATGCAGCACCATGCCTGGCTAGTTTTGTATTTTTAGTAAAGACAGAGTTTGTCCATCTTGGTCATGCTGGTCTCAAACTCCCGACCTCAGATGATCCGCCCACAGCTGCCTCCGACATTGTTGGAATTACAGGCATGATCCACCGTGCCTGGCCAAACAAAGGCATTTCTATGCTAGGTCGTTCTTGTTCCTTTATCTGAGTGAGCTGGAGGTTTCTACAAGTTTTTATCCAAATGGGCCAGAGGTTTTTCTATCTGTGCAGCCACGGGCATGTCCCCAAGCACAACAACATATGCTAGTTCCCTTGTTAGTGTCTGCAGCTTGATTTTTTCCAGGCTTCTTTATATGTTATGCAGGGATGAGGCACTGACCAGGGACTTTCCAGGGACTCTTCTCTTGCTATCTACCTAAGGCAAGCTAACTAACTTCTTTCATAAGTAATGAGTATTCACTTTTACTTTTGTAAGACACAAATTATCTAAAACCTACTGCAAAACAATAGAACTATACTAACCACTTCTAAACCATATACTTAAAATGTCAGAAATGACAATGGCATGTTTTTAACTACAATTAGAAATTTAAGACTAACTAAAAGGCACAGTTAGAAAATCTTTCAAACATCACCTTCAAATAACAAAGGGTTCTTCTCACACAATTATATGGATTTAAACTATATGTTGATTGTAAATTTAAGATTATTTCCCTGATGACTCACCAAGATAGAATAAAATAATCACTGGAAACCAAGAAAAGAGGGAAATTTATAGCACTAATGTCCACATCAAAAAGATAGAAAGGGCTGGGTGTGGTGGCTCATGCCTGTAGTTCCAGCACTTTGGGAGGCTGGGGTAGGCAAATCACTTAAGGCCAGATGTTCAAGACCAGTCTGGACCACACAACAAAACCCCACCTCTACAAAAAAAATTCAAAAATTAGCTGGTTTTTGTGATGCACATCTGTAATCCCAGCTACTCAGGAAGCTGAGACAGCAGAAATCACTTAAAACTGAGAAGTGGAGGTTGCAATGAGCGGAGATCATGCCACTGTACTCCAGCCTGGGTGACAGAGTGAGACTCTGCCACAAGAAGAAAAAAAAGAGAAACTAGAAGATCTAAAATTAACAGCCTAACATCTTGATTAAAAGAACTAGAAAACCAAGTGAAAACTAACCAGAAAGGTAGCAGAAAACAAGAAATAACCAAGATCAAAGTAGAGCTGAGGGAGATAGAGACACTGAAAACTCTTCCAAAAAAAAAAGTCAACAAATCCAGGAGCTGTTTTTATGAAAAAAATTAATAAACTAGATGGAACACTAGCTAGGCAAATAAATAAGAAAAGAAAGGAGAACCAAACACAATTAGAAATAATAAGGGAGATATCATCACTGATCCCATGGAAATATGAACAACAATCAGAGAACACTATAAACATATGTATGCACATAAACCAGAAAATCTAGAAGAAATAGACAATTTCCTTGCAAAATAAACCCTCCACAAGACTGAACCCTGAATAGATCAATAATGTGTTCTGAAACTGAGGCAGTAAAAACTAGCCTACCAAGCAAGCTGAATTTGAGCAGAGGTACAAAGAGGAGATGGTACCTTTTCTCCTAAAACCATCCAAAAAAAATTGAAGACAAAGAAGTTCTCTCTAACTCATTCTATCAGGCCAGCATCATCCAGATACCAAAACCTAACATAGATACTACAACAACAACAACAACAACACATCATGCCAATGTCTTTGGTAAACACTGTGCAAAAATCCTCAATAAAATACTGGCAAACCAAATCCAGCAGCACATTAAAAAGTTCATCCGCAACAATGGAGTTGGCTTTGTCCCCAGGATGCAAGGTTGATTCAACATATGCAAATCAATAAATGTGACTCATCACATAAAGAGAACTAAATACAAAAACCACATGATTATCTCAATAAATGCAGAAAAAGCATCCAATAAAATTCAGCATTCCTTCAGGTTTAAAATTCTCAATAAACTAGGAAGTGAAGAAACATACCTGAAAATAATAAGAGCCATATACAACAAACCCACAGCCAATATCATACTGAATGTGCAAAAGCTAGAAACGTTCCACCTGAAAACTGGCACAAGAAAAGAATGCCCTCTTTCACCACTACCATTCAATATAGTATCAGAAGCCTTGGCCAGGAAAATCAGGCCAGAGGAAGAAATAAAGAGTATTCTAATAGAAAGAGAGGAAGTCAAATTATCTTTGTTTGCAGATGACCTGATCCTACATCTAGAAAACCTCATTGTCTCAGGCCCAAAGCTTCTTAAGGTGATAAGCAACAGTAGCAAAATCTCAGGATATAAAATCAATGTGCAAAAGTAGCTAGCATTCCCATGCACAAACAACAGGCAAGCAGGGAGACAAATCATGAATGAACTTTCATTCACATTTGCTACAAAGAGAAAAAAATACCTAGGAATACAGCTAAGAAAGAAAGTGAAGGACCTCTTCAAGGAGAACCACAAACAACTGCTCAGAGAAATCAGAGTGGACACAAAACAGATGGAGAAATATTCCATGCTCATGGAGAGGAAGAATCAGTATCATGAATATGGGCATATGGCCCTAAGTAATTCATAGATTCAATGCTATTCCCATTGAACTACTGACATTCTTCAGAGAATTAGAAAAATAAAAACTTTTAAAGTTCATATGGAACCAAAAAAGAGCCCAAATAGCCAAGCCAACCTTAAGAAAAAAAAAAAAAGCTGGAAGTGTCACTCTACCTAACTTCAAACTATACTAGAAGAGTACAGTAACAAAAACAGCATGGTACTGGTATAGAAACAGACACATAGACAAATGAAACAAAGTAGAGAACCTAGAAATAAAGCCAAAAACCTACAACAACCTGATCTTTGACAAAGTTAACAAAAACAAGGAATTAGGGAAAGGTGTCCCTATTCAAAAAATGGTGCCAGGAGAACTGGCTAGCCATATGCAGAGAATTTAAACTGGAACCCTTCTTAACACCATGTACAAAAATTAACTCAAGATGGATTAAAGACTTAAATGTACAACCCAAAACTATAAAACCCTTAGAAGAAAAAATCTAGATAATACCATTCAGGATATAGGCATGAGAAAAGACTTTATGACAGAAAGGCAAAAAGCTATAGCAACAAAAGCAAAAATTGACTAATGGGGTCTAATTAAACTAAAGAGCTTCTGCGGAGCCAAAGAAACTATCATCAGAGCAGACAACCTAGAGAATGGGAGAAAAATTATGCAACCTATCCATCTCACAAATGTCTAATATCCAGAATCTAGGAGGAATTTAACAAAATTTACAAAAGAAAAAAAAAAGGCCCCATTAAAAAAGGGTCAAAGAACATGAACAGACATATCTCAAAAGAGGACATACATGTGCCCAACAAACATGAAAAGCTCAACATCACTGATAACTGCATAAATACAAATCAAAACCATAATGAGATACCATCTCACACAAATTATAATGGCTATTAATAAAAAGTAAAAAAAAAAAAAACAGATGCTGGCGAGGTTGTGGAGAAAAGGGAACACTTTTACACTGTTGGTGGGAGTGTAAATTATTTCAAGCATTGAGGAAGAGAGTGTGGAGATTCCTCAAAGACCTAGAAGCAGAACTACCATTTGACCCAGCAATACCATTACACCCAAAGGAATATAAATAATTCTATTTTAAAAATACATGTATACAAATGCTCATTGCAGCACTATTTACAATAGCAACATCATGTAATCAATCTACATGCCCATCAATGATACACTGGATAAAGGAAATGTGGTACACATACACCATGGAACACTATGAAGCCATAAAATATAATGAGATGATGTCCCTTGCAGGGACATGGTTGGAATTTGAAGCCATTACTCCCAGCAAACTAATGCAGGAACAGAAAACCAAACACCGCCTATTATTATTCTAACTTATTAGCAGAAGCAGATCAATGAGAACACATGGACACATCAGGAAGAACAACACACACTGGACACCTGTTTCATGGCATGGGGGAGGGGAAGGAGAGCATCAGGAAGAATAGCTGCGGATGCTGGGCTTGGTACCTGGGTGATGAGATGATCTGTGCAGTAAACCACAGTGGTACGCATTTATGTATGTAAGAGACCTGCATAGTCTGCACATGGACCCCTAAACTTAAAATAGAAGTTGAAAAATAAACTTTATCACATATGGACCCCTGAACTTAAAATAAAACTTGAAAAAAAAATGTGTTTCTAGTGGATTCTCTATGTTAGACCCAAACTGAGGATCTTGAAGCTCTCGCTGGGGGAATCGGGGATGGGGGCACACTGGGGAGCTGCTGCCAAGGCCAACCACCCTCCCTACAAGCCACCTCCCTTCCCGACCAGTATGGAAAGGAGAAGGGGTATGTGAACAGCTGTGGAGGTCAGAATCTCGGGAACTGAATCAGGCCCCAGCCCATGCCCCCCAGCCCAGCCCTCAGGATTGTTAGATGGAACAAGGCTCCATCATCACCCAGGCATGGAGGGAAGATGCCCTGGTCCTTACCAAGCAAGGCCTGGTTTCCAAAGTCCTCTCCGAAGAGGCCTCATGTTTGCCACATCTTAAAAGTCCCCTTTCTGCTGTTCTTGCACCCAGCATGTTGGACAGTCAAGTTCCCCCGCTGAGCAATCCACACATAAGGAGGGAGTCAACACCATTGCTATGTCGGATCAGCTCCAGCGTCTCCAATATCAGTTTTATCAGATCCCAGGAACCTGCCTGCTCCCAGAGGTGACAGAGAAAAATCAAGGAAGGATCTGTATGGTCACTGACCTGGATGAAACCCTTGTGCATAGCTCCTTTAAGCCAATCAGCAATGCTGACTGCCTAGTGCCTGTAGAGCTTGAGGGGACCATGCACCAGATCCATGTGCTCATGAGGCCTTATATGGATGAGTTCCTGACATGAATGGAGGAAATGTTTAAATGTGTTTTCGTCATTGCTCTCTTCTTCCCAGCCTGAACAAGTAGGCAGATCCTGTGACGGGTGAGCTGGACGGGTATGGGATGGTTTGGGGCTGCCTGACCCATGAGTCATGTTTGTTTCACCAGGGCTGCTATGTCAAGAACGTCAGCCATCTGGGGAGGGACCTGAGGAAAACTCATCCTGGACAACTAGCCTGCTTCTTACCTCTTCCACACAGAGAATGCAGTGCCTGTGCAGTCCTGGTTTGATAACATTCCAGACAGCAGCTGCTGCACCTGATATCATTCTTTGAGGAGATGAGTGGAGGAGCAGAGGGCCTCTGCACTAGCCTTGGGCAGCAGTGGGCCCTTAACCTTCCCTGCTTCCCAGCAATGGCCATCACAGTAGGGGATTTTCCCACACTGTGCCTCTATGATCAGCCTGAAAGAGTGAAGGCTGGAACACCTACCCACATGGGCCTGGAAAGAGTGAGAAGTGATTGAAAAGAGCTTTAGGACAGCTTAGATGCCCAGTGGGTGAATGCCAGACCAAGGATACCCAGAGCTACCTGCCATCAAGTTGTTGGGTTCCCAAGATGTGGGTGTGAGAGAAAGAAAGAGAGCATGTGTGTTTTGTGATGAACTGTGGCCCCAAGTATATAGTGTTTCAGTAGGGGAGAAGCTGAAGTACAAAGACTCTTCCCAAGCTAGCTTGTCTCCTCTCCTGTCACCCTATGAGCCCCTGAGATCCATAGGGATGAAGAGTATTGAAGGCTCCATTGCAAACCTGGTCTTTCTACAGTGCTACAAGGCCTATGCCAAAGAGAAAGGAAAGGTACGTCTTTGGGTGTTCCAGGCACACATCTTTCTGAAATATTTCTCCAGCCAGTTGTTGCAGACAAAAGACGACATTTCTGGGAAGATGGGGACTTATGTTCAGACGAGTACCCAAACTATCAGGTCTTCTGGTCCAAAGGCTATTTTTACTTACCTCTAGCCAAGTGCCTGGGATGGATCCTTCCTGCATCTCCCCAAGGCTCACCACTTAGCCATAGCCTCAAACCCGTGGGGAAGGAAGGTCTACCCGCCCTGCAAGAGGACAAATAACTGATTTTTGTTCATTTGACTCTGTTTTAAAATTCTCTTTAAAAGAAAAAAACAAAAAAAAGAAAAAGAAAGCGTATCTGAAACTTAAAAAAAAAAACAAGGAAAAAAGATGAAAAAAATGACATACATAGGTGAAAAACACATAGATATATGTATAAGCAACAAACACGGCTAATTCACATATAAATTAAATATCACATTGTCATAAAGTGTACCGAGTTAAAAAATTATCATTCAACTCATGATATCAAGCTTTAAAAGCAAAAATACAATTAACTGATCTGAGAAAACATACCCCCCCAAGAAAAGAAACACAACAACACAGAATTGAACATAAGAAGAGAGATTAAATGCATAAAATCCTGAATACAACATAAATATACAATGAAAAATAAGCCCTTTTTTTTTTTTTTTTTTTTTTTGAGACAGAGTCTCACCCTGTCGCCCAGGCTGTAGTGCAGTGGTGCCATCTCGGCTCACTGCAAGCTCCGCCCACTGGGTTCACGCCATTCTCCTGCCTCAGCCTCTCGAGTAGCTGGGAATACAGGCACCCACCACTATGCCCGGCTAATTTTTTCTATATTTAGTAGAGACGGGGTTTCACCATGGTAGCCAGGATGGTCTTGATCTCCTGACCTCGTGATCCACCCACCTTGGCCTCCCAAAGTGCTGGGATTACAGGCGTGAGCCACCATGCCGGGCTGAAAAATAACCCATTAGATATCTACAGCTTTAAACTGTGTGCAGTCATGAAAAGCAGACATTGGAAGTCATTGGCATTTAATAAATTGCAGAAAAATTATACAGTAAATACATTACAATCATTAATAATAGGCTCTAATGAGAAGAATTTAATAAATAATCATTAAAAAGACAGCAGAATTTTATCTGTTCTCAATATGTTGCTGCTCTTCTTATCAAATACTATAATAAAACTATATGACTATAATATAGCTTTCAGGAGCTAAAAAAAGCCTTATATTTTCAAATAAAAGAACAATATAAATTTTGCAAAATACAATGAGCATTACTGAAGTATAAAGTAAATATTTGGAATTAAAATATATGGTCATTTAGATACAGACTAAAAAAGAATAGAAATCTTAATGATTCCTTTCTGCCTACAGTGAGCTTAAAATTACAACCAAAAATTTTAACAAATATGTAGCACCTACAAGAAATTTTATTAACAGCTTACATAATGTATAAATTTGAGCAATTTATTTTAGAACTTTTGAATCTGAAAATCACCTGCTTGACATTCATTTGAGAAAGTGAAACATAAAGGAGAGTAACATAAGCAAGACGACAGAATGTGAGGTTCTGCATCCACATCCCCCACGACATAATGCAGCTGCCACAGCAAACATAAGTGCATTCATGAAAGCCTTGGAATCCAGTTCAGAGTTTGTGGCACCCAGCTGGAGGCAAAGACCAAGGAAGACATTTTCAGAGGGTGAGCACTTGACCAAGTGGCAAGCTTGCCAATCATGGTCCCGGCTTCAAAACAGAATACTGCCACATCTTACTGTAGACTTGGCTATAACTCATTTGACCTTGGTCCTGCCACTGCAACAATCTGTGAAAAACACAAGAGAATTCATACTCACCTGAGACTTAGGTGACAGGCCTGCAGAACTTGGTTCTCTCTATAGTCACTGAGTCAGGCAAAACACACCTTCTTTCCTTCTCCAGCCATGGTCTGGAAGAAATCTTCACATTGATATGATGAAATGCTAACTAACAATATGAAAAATACTAAAGTATAAATGTCACTAAAATGGTAAATACATACTGAATTTCAGAATACTATAAATTGTTATCATCTTAAACTAGACTATTAAAATACAAGATGTTTTACCTAAGTCTCATGATAACCACTAGGAAAAAAAAACTGCAGTAAAGAAAAAGAGAAAGTAATTAAAGCATACACAAACAACAAAAATTACACATTGGATATGGTGTCTCCTGCTTATAATTCCAACACTTTGGGAGGCCAAGGTGGAAGGATGAAATCTCCTTGGGTGTTGTGGTACGTGTCTGTAGTCCAAGCTACTTGGGTGGCTAAGGTGGGAGGATTATTTGAGCCCAGGAGGTTGAAGCTACAGTGAGCTGTGATATGCCACTGCACTTCAGTCTGAGCAAGAAAGCATAACTTTGTCTCAACAAAAATGAACAATACCACAGGAAAGACAGAACCAGAAAAAAAAGAAGCAAACTTAAAATGGACAGAAAACTACAAATTTACAATAGTAACTCCTTACCTATCACTACCTTACAAATAAAAAGATTAAAGTATCTACTAAACAGATACTGCTGTACACTGAATGTCATCTCCAAAATTTAGGATAAAATTTAATAGCCAACATGTTAGAATTAAGAGGTGGAACCTTTAAAAATTAATTAAGCTCTAAGAACTCTGCCCTCATGAATGGATTAATGTTCTTATTATGGGAATGGGCTAATTATAACAAGAATGGATCTGTTATATATTAAAAAAAAAAGCTCTCTCTCCCTCACATCTTTGTCTATGTTATTATCCAGCAACTAGACCTTCAACATATACCAGTATCATGTTGTTTTGGCTTCCCAGCCTCCAGAATCATAAGTCAAATAAAATTCTATTCTTTATTAATTACCAGTGTGTGATATTCAGTTATAGCAGCCAAAAGAGACTAAAGCAGACAGAGTGGATAAATTAATCGTTTAAACCTCGTAATATGCTGCTTACAAGAGACTCAATTATGAATTAAGAGCATAGGCTAAAAGTGAAAGGATAGAAAATGATATTCCATGCAAACAATAACCAAAGGAGTGCAACGGTAATGCTTAAATTAGACAAAATAGACTTTCTAGCAATGTCTCTCACAAGCATGAAATGAGTTTACCATAGAATAATAATAGAGGTTAATTTCTCAAGAGAATATAGCTTTATATATTTATGCACCCAAAAGGGAGGCTTCTAAATATAAAAAGCAAATATTGCCAGAACTGTAGGGAGAAGTAGAAAGAAACCAAATAATAGAAAACTTTAATGAAATGTATAATAAAGGACATATAGTTAACAGCATTGTAAATTGGCAAGGGAAAGCTGGTCTCATGTGTTGCATTTGAGAATGCAGCAAAGAAAGTGGGAACTGATAATTTTACTGCAAGCCTGAGTTAGGATGAAAAACAGGGTGGTCGATTAGAGGTTCCACTTGCCATACATTAAAAAAACACAGGAGAAAACCAGTCCTCCTCTGGAGTGTTAAAATAATTAAAGATCAGAAAATTAGTCTAAAGTGGCTCTAGTGCCCTGTGTTCATAGGTAAAAAACAAAAAACAAACAAAAAAAAATCTAAAACCTAACTCAAATATATTTCCTATAAAACACTATCTTAGCCTGAAGCAAAATGCAGGTTTAACCCATGACAAACATGCAATTAACCTCTGAATATGTAACCAGGACATTTCCATCTGGATAGTTCAAATAAGGCTACCATATAACTGGAACCAATTCTTGAATTTGGGCTGCTTTCTCATGCATCTTATGAAAGCCTTTCCTTTATGCCCCTCTGGTGGACCAGAAATCATGGCTGGGTGCTTTCCATTTCACCAATCACTCTTTGTTCAGATAAACTGGTTAACGTTTAACATAGACTCCCGTTAATTTTTAACAAGAGAGACTGGGGACCCCACGGGCCGCAGCTCCTCCCACGCAAACACCCAGTCGCGGTTTTTCCCTGATGACCCACCAGGCCTCCCTGAACAATCTGGGAAATACTCATGGCTGTGGGCGCAGAGCAGGGCGCTGCCCAGGGACAGGACCGGATGGGCCGGACGGGACGTGGGGCCCTCGCTGCTGGCCCAGCGGCCATCTTGCAGCCACAGGGGACTGAGGGCCAAGCTGCGGGAGACTCGGAGCTAACCGTGGGGAGGACGGTCCTGCCGGTTTCACAGTCTGTTCTCCCCTCTCGGGATGGCGAACCCCGTATACTCACCATTTCCCAGCTTCCAGGATGTCCTGGCACCTTGACTATGCGTCCCCAAGGACCTACAGATCACAGGGCAACAGGGGCTGTGGGAGAGTAGCCCGGGGCTCCCAAGGTGCAGGAGGCGAAAGAGGAGACGGATCCCAAGTTCCTGTGCCAGCGCCAGCGAGAGACAAAGACCCCGCCAAATGCAGGAAGCCACGCCCTCCTCTCCTGTCCTCTCCAACTGCGCGCCTGATTGGGCGGTTCCCACATCAGTGTCAATGATTGGATAAAACTCCAGGACGCACCCACCCGAGCCTGACTCCTGCCCTTACCCCCACTCCCCCTCAGACTTAGTGCACTTTTGTTAGTTTGTTTTTAAGTTCTGGAATACATGTGCAGAACGTGCAGGTTTGTTACATAGTTTTACATGTGCCATGGTGGTTTGCTGCACCTATCAACCTGCCATCTAGGTTTTAAGCCCCATATGCATTAGGTATTTGTCCTAATTTTCTCCCTCCCCTTGACCTCAACCCCTTAACAGGCCTTAGTGTGTGATCTTTGGCTCCAGGTGTCCATGTGTTCTCATTTTTCAACTCCCACATATGAGTGAGAACATATGGTGTTTGCTTTCCTGTTCCCGTGTTAGTTTGCTGAGGTTAATGGTTCCCAGCTTCATCCACGTCCCTGCAAAGGACATGAACTCATTCTTTTTATGGCTGCATATTATTTCATGGTGTATATGTGCCACATTTTCTTTTTCCAATCTATCAATGATGGGCATTAAGGTTGGTTCCAAGTCTTTGCTATTGCAAACAGTGGTGCAATAGACATATGAGTGCATGTGTCTTTATGCTAGAATGATTTATATTCCTTTGGGTATATACCCAGTAATGAGATTGCTGGATCAAATGGTATTTCTGGTTCTAGATCCTTGAGGAATCACCACACTGTCTTCCATAATGGTTGAACTAATTTACACTCCCTCCAGCAGTGTAAAAGTGTTTCTATTCCTCCACAGCCTCACCAGCATCTGTTGTTTCCTAACTTTTTAATAACTGCCATTCAACATGGTGTGAGAAGGTATCCCATTGTGGTTTTGATTTGCATTTCTCTAGTCTCCAGTGATGATGAGCTTTTCTCTTTTTTGTGTTTGTTGACCACATAAAGGTCCCCTTCTTCTTCTTCTTCTTCTTCTTCTTCTTCTTCTTCTTCTTCTTCTTCTTCTTCTTCTCCTTCTCCTTCTCCTTCTTCTTTTTCTATTTATTTTACTTATTATTATTATTTTTAAGATGGAGTCTTGCTCTGTCACCCAGGCTGGAGTGCAGTGGAAGTATCTCGGCTCACTGCAACATCTGCCACCCAGGTTCAAGTGATTCTCCTGCCTTAGCCTCCCCAGAAACTGGGATTACAGGTCACCCGCCAACACATCCTACTAATTTTTTGTGTTTTTAGTAGAAATGTGGTGTCGCCATGCGGCCCAGGCTGGTCTTGAACACCTGACCTCATGATCCACCTGCCTCCACGGCTGAAAGTGCTGGGATTACAGACTTGATCAACCGCGCCCAGCCAAATATCTTCTTTTGAAAAGAGTCTGTTTATATTCTGTGCCCACTTTTTGATGGTTTTTTTGTGTGTGTGTGTGAATTTGTTTAAGTTCTTTGTAGATTCTGGATATTAGACCTCTGACACATGGATAGAGTGCAAAAATTTTCTTTCACTCTGTAGGTTGCCTGGTCACTCTGGTGATAGCTTCTTTTGCTGTGCAGAAGCTCGTTAGTTTAGTTAGATCTAATTTGTCAATTTTAGCTTTTGTTGTGATTGCTTTTGGTATTTTATTCATGAAGTCTTTGCTCATGCCTATGTCCTGAATGGTATTGCCTAGGTTTTCTTCTAGGGTTTTTATGGTTTGGTGTTTTACATTTAAGACTTTAATCCATCTTAAGATAATCTTTGCATAAGGTGTAAGGAAGGGGTACAATTTCTGTTTTCTGAATGTGGCTAGCCAGTTCTTTCAGCACCATTTGGTAAGTAGGAAATCTTTCCCCATTGCTTGTTTTTGTCAGGTTTGTCAGAGATCAGATGGTTGTAGATGTGTGATGTTATTTCTGAGGCCTCTGTTCTGTTCCATTTGTCTATATATCTGTTTTGGTATCAGTACTGTGCTGTTTTGGTTACTGTAGCCTTGTAGTATAGTTTGAAGTCGGGTAGCAGGATGCCTCAAGCTTTGTTGTTTTTGCTTAGGATTGTTTTGGGTTGACAGGCAAACAGGCTCCTATATTTGGGGTCACGTGCCCAGAGTATCACAGCTAATTCAGACGTGAGCTGAGACTTGAAATGCACATGCTCTTTCCCTTACCTGGGTCTGTTGTATAATGCATCTTAGCAGCTATGTAACAGTAGGAATTAGAATATTTAGACATCTTTTTAGCAACTTTTTAACCTGCATTTTTGTAACGCGGTAAAGACCTTCATCCCATCCCTGAGCCCCTCTCTCACAACACTGCACCCCACTGCTGACCACACTGTTGTGTGACCATTAGGAATCAGGGGGGCAGCGGGGGCTGGAAATAAATAAGAAAGGATTATGTTTCCCAAATTTGCTCACCTTAGAAAGTCTCCTCAACCATTCTGTGTGAGGTGATTTTTCCAAGGTAATTGTGCCCTGACTGCGCTGGATGTCAGTGTGTCTTGTCTTTTTGAAAATCACTGGATTACTCTCATGAACGGGGTATTTCTCTTTCTATTTGAAAATGGTCAACTGTCCTCTGCAGGTGTCCTGACTTGCTAGTTTAGACCCTGAAGGTAGCGGTGAGAAAATATTTGGGCCACATCAGAATACCTATTCTCAGCTGGAGGATATATAGAAATTTCTTAATAATATCTAACCATTTTCTCAATAACCATTATATTTAACATTGATAGCTTGGAGGGCAGGGAAGGACACAGATGACACAATCTTCAAAGTTTAATTTAGTTATAAGGTTTTTTTTTTGTTCTTGCTTAGTTTTGCTTAGTTTTTGGATACAAGGTCTTGCTCTGGTGCCCAGGCTGGAGGGCAGTGGCATAATGATAACTCATAATTTGGTTGTAATGGTTCTTTAAAATATATTTTTGCTGAGAGTGCTAGCTCATACCTGTAATCTAAACACTTTGGGTGGCCAAGGTGGGATGATCGCTTGATCCCAGGAGTTCAAGACGAGTCTGAGCAACATAAGTAGGCTCAGTCTCTAGAAAAATATTTAAAAATTGTCTGGGTGTAGCTTTGCATGCCTGTAGTCCCAGCTACTTGAGAGGCTGATTTGAAAGCATCACTGGAGCCTAAGAATTTGAAGATGCAGTGACCCATGATTCAGCCACTGCATTGACAGAGTGAGATATGTGTGTGTGTGTCTGTGTGTGTGTATAAAGAATTTGTATGTGAAAAAAATTCAAGCACAGGAGAAAAGTGAAAGCCCACGGTGGGGGATGTGGAGAAAGGTCACTGTGGCTCCAGCAACTCAGTGAGACTTGGTTTTCCATCTTGAAGAATTGCCCATCCACACTGACACCATAGCCTAACATATGCCAGTTCTCACACTACACCTGCTGGGATACCAGTATGTAGCCTTTTGAAAAAAATAAAATCTTTCACCTAAGAGAAGGACAAGAGAAAATGAGGGTTTCGCATCTAAAGCCTTCATTTTCTTTATGAATCAACAGCCACTTGTCATTTCAATTGTCCAGAGGCGACTGACAGCACTAATACACTTAATGAATCAACCAGGAAAAATGGGCCTCTCAGGTGAGGAGGAGGCACAATGGTCACAAAACCCAATCCGTTCTCAGCTTTGCATGGTGCTCGCATCTCAAGAAGTGGTGTTAGCCATGTGAACCGTGTTCACTGGACAAGGCCAGAGGAAAGAATATTTAGTACAACACAACTATGGGGCTGCAAATCAAACTGGTAGTGGGAGCATGCATGAGGCTTCAGTGGCCGAGACACTGGTGGCTACCCTTCGGTGTCACTTAAACCTTTGAGGTGAAGGACATCTTTTTTCCCAACTGGCTCAGAGAAACCAATCAACATTAAAATTGAGATTTGTTTTTCTTTTCAAAATTTCTAAGACATAGAGGAGTCTCTAACACTCCAAAAGAGATTCAGCTATACATGCAGCTGAGGACCTGCCTGCTCTGTAGAGGGATGGCAGAGCAGCGGCCACCAGCTTTAGTAGCTTTAAGCTCCTCTTCTCATAGGGACAGGCCACCCCCACACAACCCCCCTAACTTCATAGGCTCTGGCTGTCAGGTGCACCTGGGGGACTGTCTTCCTCCCATCTCATTAGCTCTCGAAGACAGTTCAGCTCAATCTAAAACCTACCTTAGGATGGTGAGTTGTAGGCTCTCCTCCATTCTCCCAGCGCAGTGTGACTTCTGGAGAGTGCTTCTCCATCCTCTTACCTCAGATGATGTGAAAAGAGCCGTTTCCTGGGCAGTTAGATGTTCAGTGACATAACAGGCCCAGCATGTGCAGGGCCTGGCCCCACAGCCTGGCACGTCTCCCCTACCTGGCCTTCACGCTGGACTTTTCTCTTCTGCCACAAATATCAGGTGATGATCACCTCTGCCACACTCTCATGAGCTTGGTAAGTAGCAGGGGTGTAAACCCCAACAGATTTCCTGTGACTCTACCCTCTTACCACCCACTCAAGTGACATTATAAGCATACTTTTACATTTGATCTTATTTATGCATAATTTTTTTATAACATTTCTGACAACAGCCCACACAACGAAATGAGTCTGGCTTACAGAACACACGGGCGAGGCTGGGGTAGCATGTTTCAATTACTTTATTCCAATGTGAAATGAAGACTGATGATTTAAAAACAAGACAAAGTTGTTTATCAGCTGTGGGGTGGCTACACTTGCTAGCTCATGCTCACTTCCTTTGAAACAAGGTATCTGGACAGACCATATTCATAAGTAGCTCTTCGCAAAACCCCAGACAGAAGCCCCAGTCAGACACAGCTCCCTCAGGCTCACAGGGCAGCAACCTCCTCCTCCATGTTAGGCTCTGACAGCAGGCAAGGGAAGAAGCACAGGCCACAGGGGACAGGGAGATGTCCCGGACTGTAGGGATCCCCAAATGCCCCAGAGGTATTCTCTGTAGAAAGGCACACGCAGGTCTCACTGTGTCAGTGCAGTGGCTGAATCATGGGTCACTGCAGCCTCAAACTCTTAGGCTCCAGTGATGCTTTCACCTCAGCCTCTCAAGTAGCTGTATGGCAAAAAGCCTCCCATTTTTTTACTTAAAACCTGGACTTTAAGCCAGGTTGGACCTGGGGATAGTGGCAGCAAAAGCAGCAGCCAAATGTATACACTCCAGATGTCTACACTCATGGGCACAGGCATATTCCACACTTGCTGGAGCACGAGAGACCTGAGAGGCACCTGTTTCCCAGTTGCTAACTGATGTCCATACACCCCATTCACGTGTCTTCATTTAGGATTCTGCATAGTGTATTTGCTCAGCCAGTGTAAACACATCTTCTGGGGGGCATCATTAATTGCAGCACCTGACCCACTTGTTCTGGGAGGGAGTCAGGAGGAATCTGGTCAGCTCCTAATCCCCCAGGACAAAGGTGCTGCCCCCTTTTCAGCACTCACATCCAGCAATGCCATCTCTGGATGGGTTTTTCAAACACAAGCAGTATGAGGTAGCAAGAATGGTGTGACAGGCTCAGGGCCATGGGCAGCCGGTTGCTGGAGAAGCAGCACAGGGCAGGCACATCTGTGGGTGGCACCATGACAAGCCAAGGCAGCCACAGACCCTAATCCCAACAGCTCCAGCCCAGATGGCATTCAAATCTTCCCAGATAGTATTGGGGTACCCGATGCCCATCACTTGCCCGCTCATTAGCACGGCCTTGTTGGTTACTCAGGGACTAAGGAGAGAGGGTGGGGGATGTAGATCCAGGGTGGGCACCGCCTCACAGCCAGAGTCCACCTGACTGCAGGCCAGCAAGCAAGCCCAAGAAGCTCAGCTCTAGTCACCTCTGGCTGTACTTTATGTGTATACATTACATAAAGGTAGCAAACAGAGGTCAACAATAGCTGTTGTGATATGAAAGTCTATGCCTCATTAAGACCTTAAAATGCTGTTGTCTTAAGCTTTCTTTATTCTAATAAAATTTATACAAATAAACACATGCAAGCTGAAACTACTATAAATGAAATATTAGGATTTTTTAAACCCATAAACAGACACAAAGACAGTCACTGTTTGATTGCAGAGAAAGTGAGATTCTAAAGCAGCTGACCAGAAAACAGCCTCACCAAACCCCAGGCAGGCCAGGCAGTCTGAACACTACAAGGCCACGTGATGGTCACAGAGGATGACAGCTCCCGTGAGTATTGCAAGGCACTGTGTTAGCTTCTCACTCACAGTCTCAGAATACCCTGTGAGGGGAGGCCCCATCTCACTAGAGCACAGGAGGTTCCTGAGCTCTTCCCAGAAAATGGTCATCAAACGATGGAGCAGAGGGAAGCCCAGACAGAACAAGTGAGTCCCTAGGGTCTCCTTAACCTCCCTCAGCTCCTCCACATGGGTTCCTGAGGGAAAGTGAGCAGCCTCCTAACCCCCTTGATAGGGTTCCAGTCCTGCAGGTCGGACTCTCTCATTTTATGCTACCATAGGGGGTGACAATGCAACCCCAGGCCCCTTATTTGCCATCCCTCAATGCCAGGCCAGGCCCAGAGCCCCTTGCTAACACAGCCCAGGGGATGCTCAAGGCCCACCTCGGCACAGTCACCTGTAGTGTACTGAGATGAGCAAGGAGGTGCAAGTAGACACAAATCCCCATGGGCTTGGCCTCAGCCATGTTCCACAGGCTCAGGGCCTCGCAGATGAGCTCACAGCCCTCCTTCAGGAAGCCTGCAGATCACACCCTCAGGGAGCAGTGCTCAGATGAGCAGGCAGGCCCCACATCCCCCACCCCATGACGCTCTGTTCCACTTTGCAGGCTTCTGCATTGGCCAGTCCCCACTGCTTTCTGGTGAGATGTCCGAGTTGAAGTGAATGTTGAAGGCCACACAGCTGATGGAGCTCACTGCCTTGCACATGTTGTAAATCACCTCCTGGCTTCAAGGGTCAGCTGTGGAGACACAGCTTGATGGGAGGTAGGCCCACTCCACCATCAGTGGTGCTGGGTTGCCCTGATCTGCACCTTCCAGATACTTGCTAAGATATCTGCATGCTTCTCTAAGGGACTGGGTCACGAGACACCCCTGGCAAGGACCAGCTGGCAGAACAGGCTGGACACTCTCCCTCAGCCTCCCCAGCAGCCCCACCTGTGCTGTCATCTGTGCTGATGATCTCCGTGGTAAGATTATGGGAAACTTTTACAGCAAGTTTTCCTTTCTCACTTCCCTATCTTAATAACAGCACTGATAACTTTTAAGCCCTAGCAAGCTGAAACTGCAAGACACATGATCTTCTGCCTTAGAAGGGCCATGTTTGGGCAGTGGGTGCCCAGGTGAGAGCCCCATGGTTGTTAGTGGCAGCTGGGAGCTGGATGGGCCTGCCCCATAGCCTAGTGAAAAGTGGGACCCTCTCCTTCCAGAACATGGAAGTCTCAGAGGCTGGAAAAAGGTGCCTAAGTGGCCTGCCAAAAAGCATAAGGCTAGAAGGCCTGGAAAGAGCCCCAACAGCCTTCAAGCTGCCTGAGAGGGCTGGGCTCATTCCAGCTTTCTTTGCTTTCATCCTGTTAGGAAGAAAACCTGCTCACAGATGGCAGGCGGGCCTGAGGCTGCCATTCCCTCATCAGGGGCTATAGGCACCTTTAATGTGGCTCTTTCTTGAAGCAGCTGCTCAGGCCGGTTCTCGAAGAGCAGTTCCCTTATTATCCACAGGTCCTTCTTCCAGCCCCGTGTCTGCAGAGGGACTAGGGAGGGAGACAAGGGCTCAGCCTGTGCCCCACAACCTGCTTTGAGACATCTCTTTTTTTTACTTCCTCACAGACAGCCTGAAACTTCCAAATGAACAGACCAGAATGGAGCCTCCAGGAAAGTGTACAGAATTCTGTCTAGTACCCAGAAGGAAGGGGGTTCCCAGTGAAGGCAGGGCCAGGCTGCATGCACCTCTTCAAAAATGTTCTCCTCATAGTCCACGCTCAAGGTGTACATCCTCTGTGTGCTTGCAGTCCATGGCAGCCTCTGCCTTGGGAACAGTCCAGCTGCACACCTGCAATATGGTGGTGACCCTCTTGAATGGATGGTTCTGGGCCCCATTGCAGACAGCAGATAGGGAGATGCTCAGCCCATCAAGCCCAGAGCCCTGCCACAGGCTTCTGTGAGGCCTCCACCTGCTCTGGGTTCTTGCCCTGAGAGGCTGCCCTGAAGTCAAACAGAAGCAGGTGGGACTCTCTTCCACAGCTGCTCTCTCTCCCACTGACAGCTCCCTAGAGGGTAACTCAGACAGAGGGGATAGATTTCTCAGGCAGAAGGACTGGAGTTTCGGCTGACGATTCATTCCATACCCCCACATGACATGACACAAGGCAGGGGCTGTGGGACAAAGGCATTGCCTTTCCTTCTGGCATGAGGAATGGCTTAGGAAGCAGGTCTGGTGGGGCTAGGGTTGAGCGATAGGCTTCAGACCACAAGGAGTGGATGGACACTGAGCAAGTATCCTGGTTATCTGTCCACAGACCCAGAACAAGTGGCATCCCAGGAGCCTGGGAGGGGCTGGCTGAGACTTACTGGTTCCAGCAAAAGCCCATGTGGATGCAGTAATGCTGCCTGCTGCTGGTCCTTGGCTGTAATTACAAACAGGTACATGAGGTCCCCATGGATCTTGCAGCTCTCAGGGAGTGGGTTCCAGCTGCTCATGGTAGGCACTTTTAGTCACTGAACGTGCTTCAGGAATGGCCAAGCTTGATTAAGCCAGGCGTCTTGCTGTGAGACCCTCCACCCAACTGAGGACCCTCTTCCTTGTCCCCCCTGACAGTTTACCTTCCAGTTCTGGTTCTGGAGACACGATGGCCCTTCTTGGGCCCCTGGGAGAATGTGCTCAGATGACACACAGTCGACAGGGCCCATTTCCAAGCCATTCTTCCATTTCCCACTGTTTGAGGGGCTGAGGCCGGTGATCAGCACAGGGCCACCCAGGGCCAGCTGTCTGCACCTAAACGTCATGTTGGTCTGGATGTCTCAGAGCCAGAACTCTCCAGGTAAGATGGCCTGGTCCTCAGCACCTGGCCTCCATGCTCCTTTTTCCTCTGTTCAATCCTGGCCCCAATGCCTCCCGCAACTCTCAGGTCACCATTGGAGAAGATGCTCAGGAAGAACAAGGAGCTGCAGTCAACCCTGCTGAAGGTGGCATATGGGTCCAGGCTCTTGAGCTGGTCTTTGACATGGTACATGTGGATGCAGGCTTTGAGCAGTGTGAGTAGCTCTTTCCGGAAGGAGGGGAAAACGGTGTTACCAGGGTCCTACACCCTAGAACGACCCATCTAGCACAGAAAACAGTTTGCAACGTGCTATCATGTGTGATTTTAATTTTGGGCTTTAGGCTTTCATTTCCAAATTCCACAATAAACACATAAGGTGGGGTTCTGATTTCAACACACACACACACACACACACACAAGCACACACACACATTCTCTCTCTCTCCCTCTCTCTTAGAATCTTCCAGTGCATTCACACTGAAAGCCGAAGTCCTCCCAGAATCTTGTGAGAACCTAAATGATCTGAATAGTTTGTCATTGCTTTTGGGGATCTGGGAAAATCTCTGCACATTTCTGGAGACCGCTGTTATGCCATTTTTAATAAATCTGTTCTGCTTCAATTCAGAAGTGTGTGAGGGGAGTTGTGGAGGAATTGGCATTTGGGTTAGAAATTATAGGAACAACAGAGACAGATGACACCTGTTTTCTGCTTCATAATGTCAAGTTTTATGAAAGCTAAAACCTAATTCTACAAAAAAATTAGACTGAAAAACTTTATAGGCAAAAATTATCTTATTAAATAGGAAAATCTAATTATTTTATTTTAAAATTTTCTTTTCCTTAGTAGGACCTAATCATAGAAATTTAAACACTGTATGCCAACAGCCTCTACTGTAGGATGGTTTATTGTAAGTACTCATTTTACAGATTTCTTACAAAAACTTTTTCCGTAAGGGAAATTAGAATATTGTTCAACATATATTGAATTCACAATTATTACCTTATTTCTCACTTATTATTTTATGATTCTGTTTTCTTTAATATGAAGATTACTATGACTGTGTTTTCACTTTCTGAATTATCATGTGTCACATTTTTCTGTAATTTCAGTTTGAGAAGTTGTAAAACAGCATGCCCAAATGTATATGTTATGTATCAATTATATAATTAATTATTAAAATATTTGGCTTGTATGTTTAATTGACTCTAGGCACAATGTTACTATTAACATTTTCTTCCAGTTTTCCCAACTTTTATTTGACTAATAGTACAATTTATTTCCAGTTTTTATTTTATCTGTCAATGTTTTATACTGTATTTACAATATTTATATTGTCACCATATGTAAAAATGTAAGACCTTTCTATTAAAGGCTAGATTACAGCCTTACCCTTTTGTGTAAGGAAAGCAGCAATGCATCAGTAGCATAATTTAAAACTTTCTCTAGTATTACTTAAATTTTTATTTCTTAAAACTTTCTCATCACATCTCTTTCTAATAATTATAATATGGTTTCTTTGAAATGTTGTTGCCCTAATTGTATCCAAATAATTCAAAATTTATACTTTTTACGGATTCAAAGGAAGAGTTGAAAATTGTAGTTACCTAGGATTCTTTTTCAGTTGGACACTATGTTTATTCAGGATTTTATAGATCAAAGTTTCTCTTAATTATGTTTTAGAATTTATGTTTCTGTATTTTTTAGAGTAGGCTGTCTCACAGCAGTTAATTGTGTTTTTACTTTCTACCTATTTATTATGATTTTGAATTACATTATTCAAGTAAGAATTCGGGGAAGGTTTCTTTTAAGTTTGTTTTGCAATTTTGCATTTCTGTGTTTCATGTTTTAGGGTAGGGCACCTTACATCAGTTTATTGTTTTTAGTTTGAATTTATATAATATAATTTTCTATGACAATATTCAAATCTGTACACCTTAAGACAGTGTGAGGCAAAAAATATGAACCATCCCTATGGTCTTTTGTTAATATAATGATTTAATTGTTTGTTTGCTTGTATAAATATTGCCCCTATTTTGTTTATGACTTGTGCATTTTCTTCTTGTTTGATGGCCAATAATTGATTCTGTCTAAGTGAGTAATCATGGAAATTGTCTTAATTTCAACATCTATTGTTTATATTATCCTAGTGTGAAAGAAAGACTTATGCGATTTGAAGATAATTTTTCAAAAACTTTGTAACTCTCTCTCTTCGGGTGTCTTTACTTATTTATTTATTTTTTGACAGACTCTCACCCTGTCGCCAAAGTGCAGTGGCACAATCTTGGCTCACTGCAACCTCCACCTCCCAGGTTAAAGCAATTCTCCAGCTGCTGCCTCTTGAGTAGCTGGCATTAAAAGTGTGCACCACCACGCCTGGTTAATTTTTGTGTTTTTCATAGAGCTGGGGTTTCACCATGTTGGCCAGGCTGGTCTTGAACTCATGGCCTCAAGTAATCTGCATGCCTCAGCCTCCCAGAGTGCTGAGATTACAGGCATGAGCCATCTCTCTTGGCCATTGGGTGTCATTTTTAATTTCGATTGTGGTAAAAATACATAACATAAAATTTAGAATCTTTAACATTTTTTCTTATACAGTTCAGTCATGTTAATGTATTTACATTGCTTTGCAACATATTTGAAAACTTTTTTCTTTTGCAAAACTGAAACTCAGTACACATGAAATGACAACTACCCATTTTCCTTACCACCTGGCTCATGATAAAAATCATTCTATTTTCTGGTTCTAAGTTTCAATACTTTAGATATTACATATAAGTAGAATCATAGAGTATCTGTTTTATTGTGACTAATTTTACTTAGCATCATGTTCTCAAGATTTCTCTTTATTGTGGATGCTACAAGATTTTCTGCCTTTAAAAGCTGAGTAATATTCCATTACTTTTGTATTACAAATTATATTTATTTATTCATTCTATGAGGAAAGTTTGTGTTGCTTTCACCTATTGGCCTTTGTGAATAATGCTGCAACGAATATGGGTATGCAAATAACTATTTGCTCATATGTGCGAGGTTTACGTCTGTGCTACCTTCTGTTTTATTGGAAAAATTGTCTGTCTTTATGCTAGAAACAAACTGTTTTCATTGCTGTTGCTTTGTAATGTGCTTTGAAATCAGAAAAGTTGAGGCCGCTAACATTGTTTTTTTTTTAAACATTTTTGGGCTCTTTATGGTCGCTTGACATTCCACATAATTTGTTGGTTCCTTTTTCTATTTCAAAAAAATTGCTAATTTAAAAGGGATTGCATTGAATCTGTAACTCGCTTTAGGCATCATGAGCATTCTTCATAATATCAAGTCTTACAACCCTTAAACATGAGCATGCTCAAAAGTGAGTTGTTTAATTTCCATATATATGTTGCTATTTTTGTTTTCTTCTGTTATTCATTTCTAGTTTTATTCCATTTTGATCAGAAATAATAGTCACTGAAAGGCTAAACCACTCTGGGAAGTGACCCCCATTATAGAACATTACAAAGATATGTGAGGGCACCACTTCTGCCCTGATGGGCTAGAGGGATGTGTTCTCTGAGATGACACATTGCACACAAATGCAGGGAACAGTATAACCCCCTTTTCGTGTAAACTCTTCCCTATTTTTCTAGAGTATTAATGCTAGTGGTGGCTTTGAAGTCTTGGGGAAGGTCTGGCAGTGCCGTGAAGCTGCCTGCTACAGGTGATACCAGGGGGAATAATTAAAACCATACCAACTGTAGTAACATGAATAAATACAGCCTAGTGTAAAGTAAAAACAACACAAAGGTCTTCTCTGATATTTCTACAAGAATGTAAAAAGGGACTTTACACTTAACCAAGTTGCCTTTGGGACTAGTTAAGGCTAGATTTTTGGGAGGCAGATCTTTGGGTCACTCATGGAAATCCCCTAAGAGAAAGCGCAGAGAAATTCCATATTTGGGTCTGGATCCTGGGCCCATCCTGGTTTTGTCAGACCCCTGTCTGTAGAGATCCCCATGTGCCTGCTCTCACCATAACTCACTGTATGCCATGCTTAGGGGTGTGGTGAACCTGCCAGTTGTCCAAGGAGTTGGGGGACTTGAACCCATCAAATACCTGCTCAATGATTTTAATGAAACTCTACAAAGAGTGTTCCCAGCAGCGAAGCAGAAAAAAAAAAAGAAAAAAGAAAAAAAATTAATTATCTCCTTTGTTTTTACCACCAGGTAACATCTCCATTAGAAATTCTGTTTCCTAGATCAGGAACATAGGAGTATCTGCATAGACCCCCAGCCAATGAGGAAACCCGAGGACAGCTTAAGGCCTTGGGATTCACATCTGAGTAGACA
This sequence comes from Homo sapiens, assembly GCF_000001405.40. Lineage (NCBI taxonomy): Eukaryota > Metazoa > Chordata > Mammalia > Primates > Hominidae > Homo > Homo sapiens. Next base: position 154,080 of record NT_113930.2, read on the forward strand.
CACTTGGTCCACAATGCTCAACTTTTTATTCCACCAGCCATGACCTGGGTATGAACATGACATACCCGCCAGGGTTCCAATGCCTTACAGCCTGCCCCTGTGAGAAAGAGCCCCCTCCTTTCCTGCTCCCCCTGCAACACATGGTAATGGTAGACAGGGTCGGATTGCCCAGATTAGATGACACGGGTGGGCTGGCATGGACGGACCTGACCTAGGCTTCACTGTGTTACCTGTGTTTGCCTCTTGTTGAATGGCCAGTGGTATCAAGGATGTAGGCTGAGCCAATATGTATATGGTCAGAAAAGGCTCTCACTTTGAACCTTTCTCAGGCAACAGCTTAGGAATATAGCACACAATGAGAACACAGTGCTCTCTCAAGCATCTCCCATGAAATTAGCTAGATAGAGGGCTGTCTCTAGAATGTGGGTTTCTGGTTCCAAAGTTCTAAATTCTGTTAGGTTCTGTCACAAGGGAAGTCTGTTAACTTCTTCAAGGTTTTATCCCCTGAGCCCTTTTCCTCCATAAATCTATGCAAAGTCCCTGCTGGGCTGCTGATTGCTCACCCTCCTCTCCCATGTCAACTCTTTTCCTGTAAACAGTTATGCAAACACAATTATGCCTCTTACTCCCCATAAAGATCTAAATACAGCCAGGGCCCCAGGTTTGAGAGAAGAGAGTTGGATTAAAATCTTCTTTTCCTTTTCATTTCTGTGACCATATGAAAATGACTGTGCGCTTCAGTTCTCCCCAGCCCTGAAGTATGCATAATGGGATTAGGCTAGCATCAACTTCCAGAAAGAGTCATTGGCGATATATGAGATAGAATGAATCAAAATCAGTGGGATGTAGTTGCTCTTGCTTGTAATCTTAGCAGATTGGTAGACCAAGACGGGTGGAACACTTAAGGCCAGGGGTTTGAAACCAGCCATGGCCAGCATGGCAAAAACCCTTCTCCACTGAAAATGCAAAAATTAGCCAGATGTGTTGATGCTTGCCTGTAATCCCAGCCACTCAGGAGGCTGAGGTGTAAGAATCACCTGAGCCAAGGAAGCAGAGATTACATTGAGCCTTGATCATGCCTCTGCACTCCAGCCTGGGTGACAGAGCGAGACTGTGTCTCAAAAAAAATATATACTATGTATATATAATTTATATTTATATATTATATATAATATATAAACTTATACATATACACCTTTATGTATAAAAGATATATATTTCATATATCTGTATACATAAAAGATATATATTTTATATATATGGCCTTATTTTTCCATTCTACAGCAGAAGAGGTTGAAATCAAAAGAAAATCAGATACTGTATTCTGGCATTAAATATTCCAGTGCTGTGCATTATATTTGGAATCACATGTATATGCCTCATCTCAGCCTATGTGGTGGGCGCCCCCAACAAAGTCTCACAACAACACTAAGTTGTGAGTGACTCTGTTATTTTAAAACGCAGCTCACCTCTCAGTGCCTCAGAAGCCGGTACTATAACACCGGGTTTCCAACAAAGGCATTGGATTCCAGCTGAAGCCTCTTTCCCTGTGCTTACTTAAAGGTAGTAATATTCTCAGAAAGGTTTAAGAGGTGGCTTCTTGTTTAGCAGGGAATTGCTGAAAGGAAAAATGTATGGAAAGTCACTGGGCATGAACAGCCATCTTTTCTTGCTACACACAGGTCATGTGCAAATTTGGGGACAGTTAGTACAAAACATGTGATGGAAATTTGGGCTCTGACATCAGTGAGCTTATTTCACACAGATTCCAGTTGACCATATTGGTTCCGACCAATTTTAGCCACTTTTTAGAAGTCTCATAAGTAGAATAAATTTCATGCTTTCAACAAGTTCTATCTTTTCTTATCTGTCATTCTGCAAACTGAAGAATTTCTGCTAGTCATTGGTTGAACTCTTTGGGGACCTGGTTCTAGTTTCTGTCAAAGAGAAAACAACAAATGTGATAGGTTATCACTTCTGACTTAGTTCAGACTTCTATACCAAAAAACATAGACTAGGCAACTTATAAACAAAAGACTTTAGTTCTGGAGGCTAGAAATTTGAGATTGGCTTCCAGCATGGTTGGGGTCTGGTAAGGACTCTCTTCTGAGTTTCAAACTCCAGACTTCAGGTTGTATTCTCATTTAGCAGAGAGAGGGACAGACAGCTTTCTGCGGTTTCTTTTACAAAGCCAGTAATCTCTATCACGAGGGCCTCATGCTTAGGACTTAATTACCTCTGACCTGCTAAGGCCATTACACTGGGAATTAATGTTCTGGAATGTGAATATGGTGGGGAATCACATAGTCTACTGCAACTTCCAAAGTTATATTTCTAAAATAGCTATTATTTTCCTCCCTCTTGCTCTGTCCTGTGTTTCATCTCTCAATCTCTCTGTCTCCCTTTCTCTTTTTCTGTGCATATGTCTGTCTATCTCTTTCATTTTCCATCTCTCTATTGTATTCTTCAAGATGAGGAAGCGATCTCCAGTGTCCTAAGATGCTCTAGGCACAGACCCACATGATAGAGAACTGAGGAACTGCCCAGGCCAATCAACAGGAAGAAACTGGGGTTCTCAGTTCACATTGAATCTTGCCAATTTCCATGAGGCAGATTGGAGGCTGATCTCTCCCCAAATCCAGCTTCAGTTGAAATCACAGCCCCAGCCTCATAAGGGACCTTGAGGCAGAGGCACCCAACTAAGCTATATCGAGATTCTGGTTCACAAAAATTGTGAGATAGTATTTGTTGTCAAAATGTGCTAAAATTCAGGGCAATGTTGTCAGAGATGGGCAAATGACTAACCTCCTCTTTCAGACCCCAGGATACACCCTCCCCTCTTTTCCTTTCTTTCTCAGGCTGCCTACAGCCACACTTGTCCCTTTATAACCTCCTCTGCTAAACTGACTTGTGCCTCTGAGTCTTTTCACAAAGAGTGGCTTTTCCCTGACACACTTTCCACACCTGCGCAGTTGTCATTCTGGTCACAACATAATGTCAGCTCAGTGAGGTATTCATGTCCCCTGCAGGCAACCTCTCCCCAGCCCTCCCTCCAAACATTCTACTTTATTTCCATTATAAAATGCTCTTTTCTTTCGCATGTACTTGCTTTAGTGTTTTTGTCCTGCAGTCCTCAGACTGTGGGCTCCCCGCGGGGAGGCAGGGATAACATAATCGTTTTTGGTACCACATGGTGAACCTACCAAGGTAGCTGCCACAGGGTGAGTGCTAGGGGAAGAGTCGCTGAGTAAAATAACATGGAAAATCACAAAGTCCTTCCTGCTTTCGGTCACCCAATAATGTGGAGATCAAGAATGATAACAGGAGCTGCAGGCCCTCAGCCTGTCTCTCCCACGGCTCCAGCTACTCCAGTCAAGTCCAGCGGGCACAAGAAACACGTGGTCTGCCGCCACCTAGAGACCTCCGCTAGCACTGTAGTCCCAGGCAGAAGCATCACAAAACAGGCACCTGCACTGGGGAATTCTCAAGGCAGTGGCTCTTCAGGGACCCCTGGGAAAAGGAGCAGTATCTGAAGGCTCCAAGGGCCATAAAAGTGACCTCGGAAGCCTCCCTTGATTCCTATTTTCCTCAGCCTCTTTGAGTGTGCTGTGCACTCATTAAACATTTTAACAGCATTCGGCGACATTATTTTCTTCCACTTCCGAATGAGGACCTCAAGGACAACCCAAAAAACTAGTATTTTTTCTGGGCCCCACACTCCAGAGCCCAGTGCATTGTCACATTCTGCTTTATTCCAAGTCCTCATCCGCCCAAGTCTCTAGGCCTCTCTCTTCTCTGAAGGACCTCTAGAAACTGAAAAGCCTCTTCCCAGAGTCTCAAAGCACAGTGAGTTACCAATGAAAAGCCAAGGGCAGCAGACACCTATGAGTATCTAGAATCCTTGGTATTATTCCTTCTGAGTACCCCTATTTATGAGGGAGAAAACAAAGGCTTTCTTTGTGGTAGCCTCTCTTTATATCACACGGGGTAGTGGGTGGAGGGCATAGCTCATTTTAGTTCCAGGTGCCCACAGAAGTGGGAGTCACAACCCCAGTCCTGTCCTTTTGAAACAGCTGGGAAGGTCCCCAGGCTTGGAAGAACCCAGGGAACCTGGAGGATCCTTCATCCCATGCTGTCAGCTCCTGGTCATGTAGCTGGGGGAGTGGATGCCTCTGCCTCATGGCAAAGCTGCATCTACTGTTTCTTCCCCTTTTGTCACTTCTTTGGTTTCCTCTTCCATAGCCTCACTTTAGAATCTCCACTTTAGATCTCCACTTTAGAAGCCTGTGTGTGTGTGTGTGTGTGTGACGTGTTTGTGTGTGCATGCCTGCACGCCTACGTGACAACATTGAAGAGTAGAAAGCCCAGGTAGAAAGTAGAGCACAGGGTTTTCCAGGACTCATGGGCTCTCATTTCCAAAGCAAACCTGATGGGTGGGGTGCATGCAAGGCCTAGGAAGCTGGATCCCTCCCTAATACTCTGTGCTCTGCCCAATTTCTGGGATCTGAACCAGTCTTTGCCTTTTTTGGGGTTCTCAGTCTTCCTGTTGTAAAATGAAGAGTTGGCTACAAAACTGTATGAGCACATGCTCAGTGAAGACAGGGTGTCATGCTCAATACCACAGAGAATATTGGGATGGGGAAAGTTTGAGCAGACTTAGGTGTCCACGCGTGCTCAGGCCTCTGAACAGGGCCAATGCAGGTGAACATAAAGCACGGCACAGCCAGGTTTTCTTACCAGGGCTACAGGAAGAAACAGTGCACCACAGGATCTGCTCTTGAGGTAGGTCCCGCAAGATTTTCCCTCCTTCAACCAGCAACTGTTTGATGAATTTCATGTCCTGTGAAGCCCATATCCACCCCCATTACAGTGAGGGGCACAGGGCACTAGACCTGTAAAATAATGTCTTTTGCCTTTTTTTCTTTTCTTTTCTTTTCTTTTTTTTTTTTAACTGAGTGGATGTTTCTTCTTTCTCTTTTTCTGTTTTGTTTGTTTTTTAACTAATTTTTAAGAGGTCTTTACAGGTCAGCTGTGGTACCTCGCACCTATAATTTCAACACTTTGGGAGGATGAGGCAGGTGGATTATTTGAGGTCAGGAGTTCAAAACCAGCCTGGTGAACCTGGTGAAAATCCGTCTCTACTAAACTTACAAAAAAATTAGCCGGGAATGGTGGCCCAAGCCTGTAGCCACAGCTACTCAGGAGGCTGAGACAGAAGAATTGCTGGAACTTGGGAGGCGGAGGTTGCAGTGAGCCGAGATTGCACGACTGCACTCCAGACTGGGTGACAGAGTGAGTCTCTGTAAAAAAAAAAAAAAAAAAAAAAAAGAGAGAGAGAGGGAGAGAGAGAGTGCTCTTTATGGAAACGTGAGCCCCTTTGTAATTTCATGTGTTGAAAATATTTATCCCAATTTTGGAATTTCTTTTCTTATTGTGGTGTTCTCTTTAAGTTTGGTTTGGATGTTATTAGTGTTTTCTTTTGCTTTGTTTCTATGTAACTTCTCCCTAAATTGATTTATAGATTTCCATTTTCACAATACAATATTTTGCCAGAAATCTTGTGGAAACTGTCTAATCAGTTTAAAAATTTAAATACATATAAAAAAAATCAAAGAACTGTAAAAACTGTCCTGAAGAATGACAAAGTTTGTGAGCTTACAATGCCATATATTCAGACTTAGATTAAAGCTATAGTAATAAAAGCTATCTATGGTAGTAATGCAAAAATAGGCACAAAGAAAACTAGAAAAACTCGAGAGTCCAACTCAGACTCACACATTTAGACATTTTGTACATTACAAAACAGGCACAGAAGAGCAGTGGAGAGAAGACAGCATCTCGGTAATTAGCCTTGGGTCAACTGGTTATTTATGTGAGAAAGAAATAAACCTATCTTATATTGTTAACAAATTTTGAGACAAGTGGATTTTAAATTTTAAGGTGAAAATTGAAAACAATATTTCTAGTAGATAACATAGATAAATATGTCCATGACTTTGGCACAGGCCAAGATTTCTTGGGACACAAAATGCATAAATTATCAAGACAAAAATATGACAAATTGGACTTTATTAGAATTAAAACCTTCTCTTCAAAAAAAAAAAAGCTTCAGGAGAGCTGAAAGGCAAGAACAAAGTGGAAATCAACATTTGTCATATATTGATGTGGCAAAAGCTTTTTATCTAGATTATTAAGCTAAATCCCATCACTTAATAAACAAAGATACATACATTGAACAAAATTGGCAAAGATATGACTAGGAGTTCCACATACAGAACCGAAGGGCCAACAAGTAGATGAACACATCCACATCCTTATGCATCAGAACAATGCATATTAAAACTACAAGTGAATACCACTATGCAATCATTAACATTTTTGAAAACTGACAAAATTAAGTACTAGTGATGATGTCAAGCAACTGGAACTTTCTTATACCATTCTCTGTGTAAACTGTTATAACCACATTCAAAACCACTTCAGTAGTATCTCCTTACATACACGATGTACGTAAGCACACTCTAGAACCCAGCAACTCTGCTACTAGGTATATACACCCAATAGAATTGCCAGCATATTTTCCAATGTAGTAAAGTGCTCGAAGCAGCATTATTTGGTACTTTTCCAAACTGAAAAAAACTGAAATGTGCATCAATAATAAAATAAATAATTAAAACAGCTACATATTCCTTTATAAGGGGACATTATACAGATATAAAATTAATTGGAGACATATTAAAATATACAAAAGTCTAACAAACACAATTTAATTAGATTTAAAAGTCCTATCCACAGCAATCAGCCAATAGAAAAGAAAAAGGCATACAAATAGAAAAAAAAATTGAATTCTCTTTCTCCATTTGCAATATGAGTCACTACATAGAGAATGCTAAAGCCTCTCCAAAATTACTTTTGGGGAAAACTTGAAAAGCCTCCTGAAATGGATAAGCAAGTAAAGTTCTAGGACACAAAACCAATGTACAAAAATCAGTAGCATTTCTATGCATCAACAACTTTGAATTCCTGAACATCTTCTGGTTTTATTGCATTTTCAATTTCTTCCCTCAGTTAACTATACATTTTTTTCTTTTTTCAGCTAAACTAATTTATTCTTCTGTATAATTTCACTTTGTTAATAAACCCCAGGCCAAAATGTGAGAATAAAGTATTTGTCTGCATCCTGTTTCCTCATTTTGAAAACTAGCCTAGATGAAATCTATATTTGTTCTAGGGAGTTGCCATAGACAGCATTTATTTCCGTTCTCAGCAGTGATGCCAGCCAGAAGACGGAGTTCCCCATTTTCACTTTGGTTAGACAGGACTCTGGATGGTTGTAGGGGAAAAGTTCCACACTCTAAGGGAGCCAAATAGGACATTGCAAAGATTTATGCGTTTACTCCGGGAGCAATTATTGTGTTAAATTTTGTGCAAAACACTGCGCAAAGAGCAATTAAAGTGAAAATTATTAAGGCATTACCTGTACCTTGGGAAACTCACACTAGTCAGATTCTCCGAACCCCAGAAATTAACAGCAACTAGTAAAATCTTGTTCAGAGTGAAGAGAGGGTGAACAGCAACATAGTAAAATCTTGTTCAGGAAGGTAAGTTTAAAATTTAGGCTGGGTGAATGAGATAATTACCCCTAGTCAAGTAGTGGAAGTATGGATGGCTTTGGGATGGGTGAAGACAAAAGAATCTCAGCAGAGGGTGCAGATAAAAAAGGGCAGAAACACAGGAGGCTTATGCAGAAAGAGGAATGAGTTTGCTGGACTGGGGAGAGTGACAGTAAAAAGCAGAGGATAATAGGCCTCTGTGGTCATCTAGGGACTATAGGGTGGATTAGTTGGGGGTTACAGAATCAGTGAGGTACTTTTGAACAGTAGGATGGATAAATAAGAGCTATATTTTGGAATAATTATGTAGCAATGGTGGTTAGGAGCAATAGAAACTCAAAGTATTACATAAATATGTTTTTTTCTTATTCTCCCACACAAGCCTTTCGCCTTCCCTCTTAAACTGAGAACGGAGTGGTTTGCTATGATGTTTGTAAATTCTCACAGGCAAGCATTATTCTTTGCTGCCTTTTAGTAAAGGTTAGTTTTAACCAAATTAAAGAAGATTGAATGGATTTTCTTGCTCATAATGGTTGAGTGCAACATCTCATACCTTCTACTAGTTTTCAGTATAACTGAAGTAACAGAGTGTCAATACTCCATGGAGGGGTGCTCCGCTTGCTAAGTCTCCCTCCTCTGGGCTTGGCCTTCTACACCATGGCTGTCCTGCTCTGGCTGGAGCTGGAATTTGGATTGACCTCTGTGTGTCTTCCTAGCACACAATAGGTGTCCAATTAGCATGGGCAGAATCAAGCTCCTCCCTCTCACCATTTATTTCTCCATTTGTCCCTTGTTGGGAATGGACGGACAGTCCTGCCACTGAGTTCAGCCCAGGGTTGAAGTTCAAATCTCAGCTGATACTTGGTGGATGTTGACTTTTTTGAGAAGAACTTGGGAGAATAAAACATTATAAAGGCGCTGGCCAGGCACGGTGTCTCATGCCTGTATTCCTGGCATATTGATTGGCTGAGGAGATAGAATTGCTTGAGGCCAGGAATTTGATACCAGCCTTGTCAACATAGTGAGACCCCATTTATACAAAAAACTTGAAGCATTAAAAAAATTTAGCCAGGTGTGATAGTTCCAAACTTGTCTCAGCTATGCTGGACATTGAGGCAGAGGATCACTTGAGCCAGGAGTTCTAGGCTACAGGGAGCTATGATCGTGCTGCTGCACTCCAACCAGGGCAACCACGCAAGATGTTTCAAAAATAAAATCTTTTATTATTCTTCACCCCTATAGTCTCTCCAGAACTTGTGCACTATGTAGCAGAAAGAATCAAACTCCCCAAGAGTTTGGTTCTTGCTTATGATTCGGTTTTCTGCTGCTTGGCTGCCCCGTCATGTCCCCATTTTGTATAAATAAGAACCCCCAGGTGAAGTGGAGTTTCTCCCCAGCAGAGGGTCTCACCAAGGCCCCAGGACTGGCACTTTAGGTGGAGGCTTGCCTTTCAACCTCTGAATAATAATTGATACTAAAATTGAGAAGTTTTCCAGACACCAGCTTCCTGAAAGGAGCACTCAGTCGAGACAAGATGAGGTCAGTAGCGAAGGTGACTCAGGCTGAGTGGGCCGTACATTCCTCTACTTTTCCCAAACTTCCCTCTGACATCCTCCAAACTTTCTGTCTTCCCAGGACTTTCTTGCCAGGGAGTCTAGTGAAGTAAAAGCTTTAAAATTGCTTTGATTTTAAAAATAATTTTATTGGTTCTTAAAATGTACTGTTAAATATTACTGTTTTTCTTCCCCCAGGGGCTACGTGAACATAAGCTCATTTTTCACACTAGCAGCATTTAGAAATGTCTCTTCTGGAGGAACACTGATGCTCTCAAATCACACGTGGTAATTCTCTCCTCCAGGCACAAAATGCAGTCTCAGCATCTCTGTATCAGGAGTCACTGTCTAAGAGTCTCTCCAGAGAAATAAGCTACCCAGGCCATCCAGCTGCTGGTGAGTTGCTTTGTGGTCATGAACTGGGTAGATTTCCTCATCTCTTGCTCATTGGCCACATTCAGGATTAATGATTCAATGCTTTTGTTGTTCCAGAAGCTGTGGTCAGTGGCTATGCAGGAGTCAGTCTTTCAGTGCTGATCTTTGCTGAGAAAATAATAGTATTGTTCAAACAGTATATAGGATTTGCACTCAATATTTAATAATTTAGTGACAAAAACCTCTTAAATACACATTATACTGATATAAAATAAGTTATTCATCTATTACCAAATTTACTCTTTTATTTAATATAACCCTTGGGATAACATTTTCTTTTATGCTTCCATAAATATGCTTCACATGGATATATCACATATTGTGTATAATTTCACACAGTGTTAACATAGTTTCCATCTATTTAGATGTTTGCACATTTATTTTATCTCAATGTTTGTTCTCAGGAAGAGTATTTTTCTTCATAAACTAAATTTTCAGCAAATTTTAAATGCATTTCACTGACATAATTATACTGTTTACATTGTATTTGTGTATTAAGTTACATTTTGTCCTTAAACCTGAAAATAACTTTTCAAATATATGTAATTTTAAATTTACATGTTTTTCCCTCAGAACTTTTAAAACCGTAACCTATTGGATTCTTGATCTTATTCACATATTGAGAAATGTGTTTCTTTTCATTGCTTTATAATTAATTTGAATTTTATCTTAGATAGCTTTACGTGATTTTCTCTATTATGGTATTATGCTTTTAACTATTGTTTTTCTTTTGATCAGAATGCCTTTAAGCTATTATAATTAATTATTTTAATAATTATATATTTTTATTCCCTATTTGACATTCACTCCATTTTATTTATTCAAACTTGCACTTAAACAACATGACTTATTCTAGATTTTTATGTATTTTAATTTTTCATATTGTTTATTTGTTTTATCCCTATTGGGACTTCTAAATATTCACTTCATCATATCTTCTAATTCATAATTTCTTTTTCAATTATGTAATTTTTCTATGTATTCTATCCTTTAAATTTAAAATTTTTACCTAATTATTTTGATAATATACCTTATTTTGATCTTACTTTTAAAATTTCCTCTAATATATTTAAACATTATAACTACTTATATTATTTCTACAGTATATATACAATTTTGGGATTTATTAAGATGTAATGGTACAGCTGTGTTTTTCTTATAATTTTATTTCTTAATAACTTTGATCTTGATGACTTTTACTTTGTATATTTTAAAAAGAATAGTAGACTTCATTTTATTATAAATGACTGACCTCAATTGATGGGGCCATAGAAGATTCTGGGTCGAGGTATTTTATTCCAATGAAAAGTTATCTGTAATGTTAATAATGCACCCTTTACAGACACCTGAAAATGATTAAGTCTATATATTTACCTAAATTGTCCTGAGTAAAACACATAGTGTACATATGAACCAGAAACTCATATGATGATTGGTGTTAATTCCCAAATCAACCAAAGAGGAGAAATACCACCTCCACTAACTAACCTATTTTTCTAAACTTTTGAAAATGTAAGGATTCTAGCTTTAGATAGCATAGTCAGATCCAAGTACTCCTGCATCTATGCTGCTGTGACATTATATTCACCAATCAGACATGTTAAATTCTAACAAACTGTGCTTCCATTATTAGCAATTCCCACAGATAACATCAACTTCCAGCCTAATTTTTCTCCTACAGCTGTGCTTCTTTATCCTTTCCTGAAAAATTATTTGTGGAGGTGCATGCCTTTGAAGTTTCTCAGCATATATTGTTATTTGAGGTTGAAAAGATAAGATTATCTAAATTTTTGCCAGAAACTCTGATACCCACATTATATCTTTGAAAGCATTGGTTGTCACACTGCTGCTGACATGTGCATTTAGGAGAAGCATGTAAATGTCAGTGTATTGCAGTCTCTGAGGGGTTGAAATAAACAATACCGGAAATCTTGGCCACTGAGGCTCACATGTAGATTTTCATTCCCAGTCCAGGCATCTAGATTCAGGGGCACCTAACTGAGGGGCTTTTGGTTGAGGCCTTCTTCAGAAACTTTTGTTCAGATCCCTGTTTCTGGAGAAGAAATGGAACTTTGATAATAATTTTCATACATTCCTATTAATATTCAATTCTCTTTAATCTTGCTCATACATTCTCCTCTACGCTCTCCTGCCCCCTTTTCCACAAAATTGCGGGCCTGTTTTTTATGAGGGTGCCACCTCGGCAGTGAGACAGTGCCCCATGTTTGTGCTGATCCATCTGACCCTTTCCTGGTGCTTTTCCATGAGGAAAAAATGGAACAATTAGGAGTCGGTGCTTGATCTAATGTTGCCTGTTGTTTAACACAATCACAGAAAGGAAGACAAAAAGGCGTAACTATTTCTTTGATGTGGGCCTCTTGCTTTAATTTAAAACTCTGATATTAAGCAGGTTAGCTCTTCCCAGCTCAGCTCAGCTCTTGAAATTTCATGGAAGAAATTCTGTTTTTATTGGTCTAAATTTTGTGTCTTTTATATAGAAAAACGGTAATAAAATTGCATCGTATATTTAAAAATTGAATGCCTTCTGTTTTGCCATTTTACTGAAGAGAAAATTTGTGTAGCCTATTGGCATTATTAACAGTGAAGCTCCAAGTACTAATATTCAGAAAAAATAATGAATCAAAATCCAACTATTTCTCAGTAGCATTTTCTTTTTTATAAACTTTCTATTTTATTGTCTGTAATTAAAAAACTTCTGTAGAAAAGAGTTTAAAATTTTCAAAGTTAATACAAAATTATTTTTAGAATTTCTTTTTGCATAATGTTTGTCGTAAGTAGCTAATATTAATAAATTGTAATCATCAATTCTTATCTAAGCTGCACGTTAAAAAATATGTTAATATTTGCTGCTGCCTAAAATATAATACATATTTACATAATCTAAGCTACTAAAAATAGTAATAAACACACATATAAATAATCAACATACACAGGTCATTTTTTCTATTTCTTACTTATATTTTATGTTTCATATTTGTATCAGCACACTTTATGTCCTACTATCATATATGGAAACTTGCCTATTTTGCATCTTGTTATATTAAATAAGAAGACATATGCTTAGCTTCCCCTAGGTTAAATTTTTTACATAATTGTTATTAATGTAAATAATCCAGAAATGAAAGTTTTTTAAAAAATTTCCAGTGCCCTCACTGTGCATGATATAATTCTATTTTTTAAAGTGTTAGTGCTGTTTGCATTATATAAAAGAATATTTTAGTGTATCAACTAACTACATACCTGAAAGCATGGCTTACTTTTTCATTAGTATATACTTTTGGTTGTACTCGGCTATTTTTCTAAAAGTGCTTGCAAATCAGTTCCAGGCCACAGGGCTTTGTCTTCAACAAAATAAGAATGTCTCAGAGACCCACAGAAATATCTGTGCCAAGTACTCCTATAAACAGGCTTCTGATAGAATGACTTATATAACTTTGAAACACTATCAGTGGACTAATTTATTTCTCTAATTCTAGCAGAGAAGCATATGTGCTTACAAGATAGAGTAAAACAAGTATGAGTAAAACAGGACTAAATGAACTGACGATGAATGATAATAGGTTTTGTTTGGAATGTGAACATAAAACATTCCTGCTATTATTTCCTTGGTATCTAAACATGAGCTAATGGGAGCCGTTGTTACATGTTGTACACCCTTAAGAAGGTTTACAGTTTTTTGTCTCACCTATATTCGTAGTTGTCTGTATTTGTGGTTTAGAATCTCAGCTATTTTCATAGTTGTAGCTATATTTATAGTTGCATGCAATGAGTTGCATGGTTGCACTCAGTAGCCAGGGGATGGGCAGGGAGATGCAAACAATTCTTCAGAGTAAGTTATTATCTTCTGTTGCAGTGGAAGTTCTTGAGGCTTCATAGCTACCTGGCACTCATCTCGTATGAGCTCCTTTGTGTTTCTGAAGCCTCTGGCATACACCGAGGGTGTGGGTTTGCCTGGAATGTAGCATCAACCTGTAGAGAACAGGATTTTCCATGACCCAGTCATTGAATAAACTTGATATCTGCTTCTGCTGTTGAGAAAACATTATTTCTCCTTCAGGAATATCCACCCTCTTCATCAAGAACATCGTGTCATTCTTCAGGGTCACAGAATGCTCTACAGCCTACTTCCTGGTGTCCACCAAGGAGGAGATTAGTTGCATCTGAATTGAAGGAAGATTCGAGAGGGGTCACAGCTGCAGAATTCCAATCACGCTCAGTCTGACTGTGCTGATTTTAGAAAGACACATGGGGATCTGCCACAAGGAAGGCACTTTGCAGGGAGGCCTCAACCCCATGGCACACCCCTTCAGGAGGGCTCTTCTCCTTGTAACAGTCACTTAGCCACTTATAGAAAGGCAACTCTTAGAAAATTTAAATGGGGACCAAAATACTAACCCTAACCAGTTTATTATCTCAAAGAATTGGAAAAACAAAGTTTTCAAATACTACAGGATTAGAAGAGTAAACAAGATATGCTTTTTCTTTGGAGCTACATATATGTATTAAAAATGGGATGTACAAAGAATTTTTTATCACATGGAGAAGTGCTTATGAGATGATATACCATTAAACATATTAATGAAAGGCATACATTAAAAAGTATAACCAAACTTATACATTAGAACCCAAAATTTAAAATGTGTAGAAAAATGATTGAGAGGAAATATGCCGAATTATAGGAATTGATGTGTTTCTTATAGGAAACAGGATCCTGTGAGAAATTAAATTGCTTTATTGATTCTCTTGTACTTTTATAGTTTCCAAAAGTTCTACAGAGAGTGTAATGTAGGACCTTAGTCAGGAATAAACATCTCTTTAAATAAGCAGCAGAGAATTTCAAAGGAAGTGTGTGGTATGGGTTTATGTGTTTCTTTCAAGATCTAATATTTTCCACGTAGTGCTTCAGAAAAGACAAGGTAATTTCAACAACTTAACCCCATCATCAAGAGGGTGTTACTTAAGTACATTATGGGAGGTCATAGATAAACAACCAGTCAGCCTCTAAGCATCAGAAAATCCGTGATGTCCATTGGCCTGAGAGATGGTCTGCATTTCTTTGAAGGAAAAAAGCAGGTTTTAAAACACTAGAGCCGAATCAAATCCTAAATTTGAATAGAAAGATTAGAAAGGCTTATGCATGGGAAAAAGATTCAGGGTATCCAATGGTTAATTCTGACTATTTCTGAGTAATTTAAATTTACCTATAATTTAAAAAAAAAAATTAAGGTCAGGTGTGTTGACTCAAACCTGTAATCCCAGCATTTTGGGAGGCCGAGGTGGGTGAATCACTTGAGACGAGGAGTTTGCGACCACTATGGGCACCATGGCAAAACCTCATATCTACTAAAAACACAAAAATTAGCCAATTGGTGGTGTGTGCTTGTAGTCCCAGCTACTTGGGAGGCTGACGCATGAGAATCGCTTGAACCTAGAGGGTGGAGGTTGCAATAACCCAAGATCTCACCACTGCACTCCAGTCTGGGTGACAGAGCAAGACCTTGTTTCAAAAAAAATTTTTTTGTATTTTAGTTAGGAATCAAATAAGATAATTAAATGTAAACTTACACTTAATTTACTTTTTAAGCATTTTAAGAATTGGTATTCTAATTTTGTGTCGGTACATTTTAAGAATCAATAAAATTATTTTTAAAATCAAAGCAATTTTAAAGCTTTTACTTCTTTAGACTCCCTGGCAAGAAAGCCCTGGGAAGATAGAAAGTTTGGAGGATGTCAGAGGGAAGTTTGGGAAAAGTAGAGGAATATATGGAGGGCAGAAGGAGTGAACATTAGGGAAACCCTCCCCTAGCTCAGTCTTCAGATACGCTGGTGGACTTCCCCATTCAGCCTGAGTCACCTTCGCTACTGACCTCATCTTGTCTTCTGACTGGATGCTCCTTTCAGGAAGCTGGTGTCTGGAAAACTTCTCAATTTTAGTATCAATTATTATTCAGAGGCTGAAAGGCAAGCCTCCACCTAAAGTGCCAGTCTTGGGGCCTTGGTGAGACCCTCTGCTGGGGAGAAACTCCACTTCACTGGGGGGTTCTTATTTTATACAAAATGGGGACATGACGGGGCAGCCAAGCAGCAGAAAACCAAATCATGAGCAAGAACCAAACTCTTGGGGAGTTTGATTCTTTCTGCTACATAGTGCACAAGTTCTGGAGAGACTATAGGGGTGAAGAATAATAAAAGATTTTATTTTTGAATCATCTTGCGTGGTTGCCTGTTTGGAGTGCAGTAGCGTGATCATAGTTCACCGCAGCCTAGAACTCCTGGCTCAAGTGATCCTCTGCCTCAATATCCAGCATAGCTGAGACAACAGTTTGGAACTATCACACCTGGCTAAATGTTTTTAATGCTTCAAGTTTTTTGTATAAATGGGGTCTCACTATGTTGACAAGGCTGGTATCAAATTCCTGCCCTCAAGCAATTCTGTCTCCTCAGCCAATCAATATGCCAGGAATACAGGCATGAGACACCGTGCCTGGCCAGCGCCTTTATAATGTTTTATTCTCCCAAGTTCTTCTCAAAAAAGTCAACATCCACCAAGTATCAGCTGAGATTTGAACTTCAACCCTGGGCTGAACTCAGTGGCAGGACTCTCCATTCCCAACAAGGGACAAATGGAGAAATAAATGGTGAGAGGGAGGAGCTTGATTCTGCCCATGCTAATTGGACACCTATTGTGTGCTAGGAAGACACACAGAGGTCAATCCAAATTCCAGCTCCAGCCAGAGCAGGACAGCCATGGTGTAGAAGGCCAAGCCCAGAGGAGGGAGACTTAGCAAGCGGAGCACCCCTCCATGGAGTATTGACACTCTGTTATTTCAGTTATACTGAAAACTAATAGAAGGTATGAGATATTGCACTCAACCATTATGAGCAAGAAAATCCATTCAATCTTCTTTAATTTGGTTAAAACTAACCTTTACTAAAAGGCAGCAAAGAATAATGCTTGTCTATGAGAATTTAAAAACATCATAGCAAACCACTCCGTTCTCAGTTTAAGAGGAAAGGCAAAACGCTTGTGTGGGAGAATAAGAAAAAAAATATTTATGTAATACTTTGAGTTTCTATTGCTCCTAACCACCATTGCTACATAATTATTCCAAATTATAGCTCTTATTTACCCATCCTACTGTTAAAAAGTACCTCACTGATTCTGTAACCCCCAACTAATCCACCCTATAGTCCCTAGATGACCAGAGATGCCTATTATCCTCTGCTTTTTACTGTCACTCTCCCCAGTCCAGCAAACTCATTCCTCTTCCTGCATAAGCCTCCTGTGTTTCTGCCTTTTTTTATCTGCACCCTCTGCTGAGATTCTTTTGTCTTCACCCATCCCAAAGCCATCCATACTTCCACTGCTTGACTAGGGGTAATTATCTCATTCACCCAGCCTAATTTTTAACCTTACCTTCCTGCTCCCACCCTCTCTTCACTCTGAACAAGATTTTACTAGGTTGTTGTTATGTTCTGGGGTTCGGAGAATCTGACTAGTGTGAGTTTCCCAAGGTAAAGGTAATGCCTTAATAATTTTCACTTTAATTGCTGTTTGCGCAGTGTTTTGCACAAAATTTAACACAATAATTGCTCCCAGAGTAAATGTATAAATCTTTGCAATGTCTGATTTGACTCCCTTAGAGTTTGGATCTTTTCCCCTACAACCATCCAGAGTCCTGTCTAACCAAAGTGAAAATGCGGAACTCCCTCTTTCTGGCTGGCATCACTGCTGAGAACGGAAATAAATGCTGTCTATGCCAACTCCCTAGAACAAGTATAGGTTTCATCTAGACTAGTTTTCAAAATGAGGAAACAGGATGCAGACAAATACTTTATTCCCACTTTTTGGCCTGGGGTTTATTAACAAGGTGAAATTATACAGAAGAATAAATTAGTTTAGCTGAAAAAAGAAAAAATGTATAGTTAATGGAGGGAAAAAATTGAAAATGCAATAAAACCAGAAGATGTTCAGGAATTCAAAGTTGTTGATGCATAGAAATACTACTGGTTTTTGTACATTGGTTTTGTGTCCTAAAACTTTACTTGCTTATCCATTTCAGGAGGCTTTTCAAGTTTTCTCCAAAAGGAGTTTTGGAAAGACTTTAGCATTGTCTACGTAGTGACTCATAATGCAAATGGAGAAAGAGAATTCAATTTTTTTTTCTATTTGTATGCCTTTTTCTTTTCTATTGGCTGATTGCTGTGGATAGGACTTTTAAATCTAATTAAATTGTATTTGTTAGATTTTTGTATATTTTAATATGTCTCCAATTAATTTTATATCTGTATAATGTCCCCTTATAAAGGAATATGTAGCTGTTTTATTTAGTTATTTTATTACTGATGCACATTTGAGTTTTTTTCAGTTTGGAAAAGTACCAAATAATGCTGCTTAGAGCATTTGTCTGCATTGGAAAATATGCTGGCAATTCTATTGGGTGTATATACCTAGTAGCAGAGTTGCTTGGTCCTAGAGTGTGCTTATGTACATCGTGTATGTAAGGAGTTACTACTCAAGAGGTTTTGAATGCCGTTATAACAGTTTGCACACAGAATGGTATAAGAAAGTTCCAGTTGCTTGACATCATCACTAGTACTTAATTTTGTCAGTTTTCAAAAATGTGAATGATTGCATAGTGGTATTCAATTGTAGTTTTCATATGCATTGTTCTGATGCATAAGGATGTGGATATGTTCATCTACTTGTTGGCCCTTCAGTTCTGTATGTGGAAATCCTAGTCACATGTTTGCCATTTTTGTTCAATGTATTGCATCTTTGTTTATTAATTGATGGGATTTAGTTAAATAAACTAGATAAAAGGCTTTTGCCACATCAATATATGACAAATGTTGATTTCCACTTTGTTCTTGCCTTTCATCTCTCCTGAAGCTTTTTTTTTATGAAGAGAAGGTTTTAATTCTAATAAAGTCCAATTTGTCATATTTTTGTCTTGAGAATTAATGCATTTTGTGTCCCAAGAAATCTGGGCCTGTGCCAGTCATGGACATATTTATCTATGTTATCTACTAGAAATATTGTTTTCAGCTTTGACCTTAAAATTTAAAATCCACTTTTCATTGGAATTTGTTAATAATATAAGATAGGAGTGTTTTTTCTCACATAAATAACTGGTTGACTCAAGGCTATTTACCGAGAAGACTGTCTTCACTCCTCTTCTGTGCCTGTTTTGTAATATACAAAATGTCCAAATGTGTGAGTCTGAGTTGGACTCTCGAGTTTTTCTAGTTTTCTTTGTGCCTATTTTTGCATTACTACCATAGATAGCTTTTATTACTATAGCTTTAATCTAAGTCTGAATATATGTCATTTTAAGCTCACAAACTTTGTTATTCTTCAGGACAGTTTTTACATTTCTTCGATTTTTTATATGTATTTAAATTTTTTAAACTGATTAGACAGTTTCCACAAGATTTCTGCCAAAATATTGTATTGTGAAAATGGAAATCTATGAATCAATTTAGGGAGAAGTTACATAGAAACAAAGCAAAACAAAACACTAATAACATCCAAAACAAACTTAAAGAGAACACCACAATAAGAAAAGAAATTCCCAAATTGGAATAAATATTTACAACTCATGAAATTACAAATGGGCTCGCATTTCCATAAAGGGCACTCTCTCTCTCCCTCTCTCTCTCTTTTTTTTTTTTTCCACAGAGACTCACTCTGTCACCCTGTCTTGAGTGCAGACGTGCAATCTCGGCTCACTGCAACCTCTGCCTCCCAAGTTTCAGCAATTCTTCTGTCTCAGCCTCCTGAGTAGCTGGGGCTACAGGCTTGTGCCACCATTCCCGGCTAATTTTTTGTAATTTTAGTAGAGACGGGGTTTCACCAGGTTGGCCAGGCTGGTTTTTAACTCCTGACCTCAAATGATCCGCCCGCCTCAGCCTCTCAAGTGTTGAAATTACAGATGTGAGACACCACAGCTGACCTGTAAAGACCTCTTAAAAATTAGTTAAAAAACAAACAAAACAGAAAAAGAGAAAGAAGAAACAGCCACTCAGTTAAAAGAAAAAGATAAAGAAAAAGAAAAAGAAAAGAAAAGAAAAAAAGGCAAAAGACATTATTTTACAGGTCTAGTGCCCTGTGCCCCTCACTGTAATGGGGGTGGATATGGGCTTCACAGGACATGAAATTCATCAAACAGTTGCTGGTTGAAGGAGGGAAAATCTTGCGGGACCAGCCTCCAGAACAGAGCCTGTGGTGCACTGTTTCATCCCGTAGCCCTGGTAAGAAAACCTGGCTGTGCCGTGCTTTATGTTCACCTGCATTTGCCCTGTTCAGAGGCCTGAGCTACTGTGGACACATAAGTCTGCTCAAACACTCCCCATCCCAATATTCTATCTGGTATTGAGCATGACACCCTGTCTTCACTGAGCATGTGTTTATGCAGTTTTGTGACCACCTATCCATTTTACAACAGGAAGACTGAGGCCCCCAAAAAAAGCAAAGACTGGTCCATATCCCAGAAATTGGGAAGAGCACAGAGTATTAGGAAGGGAGCCAGCTTCCAAGGCCTTGCATGCACCCCACCCATCAGGTTTGCTTTGGAAATGAGTGCTCCTAAGTCCTGGAAAACCCTGTGCTCTCCTTTCTACCTGGGCTTTCTACCCTTCCTTATTCTCACATAGGTGTGCAGGCATGAACACACAAACACACCACACACACGCACACACACAGGCTTCTAAGGTGGAGATCATGGAGGTGAGGTTAGAGAAGAGGAAACCAGAGAAGTGACAAAACGGGAAGAAATAGAAGAGGCAGCTTTGCCATGAGGCAGAGGCATCCACTCCCCCAGCTACATGACCAGGAGCTGACAGCATGGGATGAAGGATCCTCCAGGTTCCCTGGGTTCTTCCAAGCCTGGGGATCTTCCCAGCTGTTTCAAGAGGACAGGACAGGGGTTGTGACTCCCACCTCTATGGGCACCTGGAACTAAAATGAGCTATGCCCTCCCCCAACCACCCCATGTGATATAAAGTGAGGCTACGGGAAAGAAAACCTTCGTTTTCTCTCTCATAAATAGGGGTACTCAAAAGGAATAATACCAAGAATTCTAGATACTCATAAGTGTCTGCTCCCCTTGGCTCTTCATTGGTAACTCACTGTGCTTTGAGACTCTGGGAAGAGGCTTTTCAGGTTCTAGAGGTCCTTCAGAGAAGAGAGAGGCCTAGAGATGTGGGCAGATGAGGACTTGGAATAAAGCAGAATGTGACAATGCACTGGGCTCTGGAGTGTGGGGCCCAGAGAAAATACTAGTTTTTTGGGCTGTCCTTGAGGTCCTCATTCAGAAGTGGAAGAAAATAATGTCTCTGAATGCTGTTAAAGTGTTTAATGAGTGCACAGCACACTCAAAGAGGCTGAGGAAAATAAGAATCAAGGGAGGTTTCCGAGGTTACTTTTATGGCCCTTGGAGTCTTCAGATACTGCTCCTTTTCCCAGGGGTCCTTGATTAGCCACTGCCTTGAGAATTCCCCAATGCAGGTGCCTGTTTTGTGATGCTTCCACCTGGGACTTCAGGGCTAGTGGAGATCTCTAGGTGGCGGCAGACCCCGTGTTTCTTATGCCCGCTGGGCTTTACTGGAGCAGCTGGAGCTAGGGGGAGAGTCAGCCTGAGGTCCTGCACCTCCTGTTATCATTCATGATCTCCACATTATTGGGTGGCCAAAAGCGGGCAGAAGGGCTTTGTGATTTTCCATGTTATTTTACTCAGCGACTCTTCCCCTAGCACTCACCATGTGGCAGCTACCTTGGTAGGTTCACCATGTGGTACCAAAAATGATTATGTTATCCCTGCCTCCCGGCGGGAGCCCACGGTCTGAGGACGGCAGGACAAAAACACTAAAGCAAGTACATGTGAAAGAAAAGAGCATTTTATAATGGAAATAAAGTAGAATGTTGGGAGGGAGGGCTGGGGAGAGGTTGCCTGGAGGGGACATGAATGCCTCCCTGAGGTGACATTATGTTGTCACCAGAATGACAACAGAGAGCCAGTCCTGCGCAGGTGTGGAAAGTGTGCCAGGGAAAAGCCACTCTTTGTGAAGAGACTCACAGGCACAGGTGAGTTCAGCAGAGGAGGTTATAACGGGACAATTGTGGCGGCAGGCAGCCTGAGAAAGAAAGGAAAAGAGGGGAGGGAGGATCCTGGGGACTGAAAGAGGAGATTAGTCATTTGCCCCTCTCTGACAAAATTTCCCTGAATTTTAGCACATGTTGACAACAAATACTATCTCACAACTTTTGTGAACCAGAATCTCGATATAGCTTAGTTGGGTGCCTCTGCCTCAAGGTCTCTTACGAGGCTGGGGCTGTGATTTCAACTGAAGCTGGATTTGAGGATAGATCAGCCTTCTATCTGCCTCATGGAAACTGGCACGATTCAGTGTGAACTGAGAGCCCGAGTTCCTTCCTCTCGATTGGCCTGGGCATCTCCTCAGTTCTCTATCATGTGGGTCTGTGCCTAGAGCATCTTAGGACACTGCAGATCACTTCCTCATCTTGAGGATTACAATACAGAGATGAAAAATGAAAGAGATAGACAGACATATGCAGAGAAAAAGAGAGAAAGGGAGACAGAGAGATTGAGAGAGGACGCACAGGACAGAGCAAGTAAGAGGAAAATAATAGCTGTTTTAGAAATATAACTTTGGAAGTTGCAGTAGACTATGTGATTTCCCACCATGTTCACATACCAGAACCTTAATCCCCAGTGTAATGGCCTTAGCAGGTCAGAGGTAATTAAGTCCGAAGCATGAGGACCTCATGATAGCGATTACGGGCTTTGTAAAAGAAACCGCAGAAGGCTGTCTCTCCTTCTCTCTGCTAAATGAGAAAACAACCTGAAGTCTGGAGTTTGAAACTCAGAAGAGAGTCCTTACCAGACCCCAACCATGCTGGAAGCCCAATCTCAAATTTCTGGCCTCTAGAACTAATGTCTTTTATTTATAAGTTGCCTAGTCTATGTTTTTTGGTATAGAAGTCTGAACTAAGTCAGAAGTGATAACCTATCACATTTGTTGTTTTCCCTTTGACAGAAACTAGAACCAGGTCCCCAAAGAGTTCATCCAATGACTAACAGAAATTCTTCAGTTTGCAGAATGACAGATAAGAAAAGATACAACTTGTTGAAA
Organism: Homo sapiens; assembly: GCF_000001405.40. Lineage (NCBI taxonomy): Eukaryota > Metazoa > Chordata > Mammalia > Primates > Hominidae > Homo > Homo sapiens. The sequence goes on from NT_113930.2 coordinate 176,857, forward strand.
GAATGAAATTTATTCCACTTATGAGACTTCTAAAAAGTGGCTAAAATTGGTCGGAACCAATATGGTCAACTGGAGTCTGTGTGAAATAAGCTCACTGATGTAAAAGCCCAAATTTCCATCACATGTTTTGTACTAACTGTCCCCAAATTTGCACATGTGATCTGTGTGTAGCAAGAAAAAATAGTTGTTCATGCCCAGTGATTTTCCATACATTTTTCCTTTAAGCAATTCCGTACTAATCCAGAAGCTACCTCCTAAACCTTTCTGAGACTATTACTACCTTTAAGTAAGCACAGGGAAACAGACTTGAGCTGGAATCCCATCTCTTTGTTAGAAACCCGGTGTTATAGTACCTGCTTCTGAGGCACTGAGAGGTGAGCTGCGTTTTAAAATAACAGAGTCACTCACAACTTAGTGTTGTTGTGAGACTTTGTTGGGGGCGCCCACCACATAGGCTGAGATGAGGCATATACATATGATTCTAAAAATAATGCACAGCACTGGAATATTTAATGCCAGAAGACAGTATCTGATTTTCTTTTAATTTCAACCTCTTCTGCTGTGGAATGGAAAATTAAGGCCATATATATAAAATATATATCTTTTATGTATAAAGATACATAAACTATGTATCTTTTATATATAAAGATATATATGTATAAGTTTATATATTATATATAGTTATATATAATTGATATATATATATAGTTATATATAATATATAAATAAAATTATTTATATACATTATATATATATATATTTTTTGAGACACAGTCTCGCTCTGTCACCCAGGCTGGAGTGCAGTGGCAGGATCATGGCCCAATGTAATCTCTGCTTCCTGGGCTCAAGTGATTCTTACACCTCAGCCTCCTGAGTGGCTGGGATTACAGGCATGCATCAACACATCTGGCTAATTTTTGGATTTTTAGTAGAGAAGGGTTTTTGCCATGCTGGCCATGGCTGGTTTCAAACCCCTGGCCTTAAGTGTTCCAGCTGCCTTGGTCTACCAATCTGCTAAGATTACAGCAAGAGCCACTGCATCCAACCGATTTTGATTCATTCTATCTCATATATCACCAAAGACTGTTTTTGGAAGTTGATGTTAGCATAATCCCATTATGCATACTTCAGGGCTGGGGAGACCTGAAGCACACAGTCATTTTCATATGGTCACAGAAATGAAAAGGAAAAGAAGATTTTAACCCAACTCTGTTCTCTCAAACCTGGGGCCCTGGCTGCATTTAGAACTTTTTGGGAAGTAAGGGACATAATTGTGTTTGCATAACTGTTTACAGGTAAAGAGTTGACATGGGAGAGGAGGGTGAGCAATCAGCAGCCCAGCAGGGACTTTGCATAGATTTATGGAGGAAAAAGGCTCAGGGGATAAAACCTTGAAGAAGTTAACAGACTTCCCTTGTGACAAAACCTAACAGAATTTAGAACTTTGGCAACCAGAAACCCACATTCTAGAGACAGCCCTGTATCTAGCTAACTTCATGGGAGATGCTTGAGAGGGCACTGTGTTCTCATTGTAGGCTATATTCCCAAGCTGTTGCCTGAGAAAGGCTCAAAGTGAGAGCCTTTTCTGACAGTATACATACTGGCTCAGCCTACATCCTTGATACCACTGGCCATTCGACAAGAGGCACCCACAGGTAACACAGTGTAGCCCAGGGCAGGTCCGTCCATGCCAGGCCACCTGTGTCATCTAATCTGGGCAACCCGACCCTGCCTACCATTACCCTGTGTTGCAAGGGGAGCAGGAAAGGAGGCGGCTTTTCCTCACAGGGGCAGGTTTTAAGACACAGGAACCCTGGTGGGTCTGTCTTGTTCATACCCAGGTCACGGTTGGTGGAATAAAAAGTTGTGAGTTGCGGACCAAGTACGTCTACTCAGATGTGAATCCCAAGGCCTTCAGCTGTCCTCGGGTTTCCTCATTGGCTGGGGGTCTATGCGGATACTCCTATGTTCCTGATCTAGGAAACAGAATTTCTAATGGAGATGTCACCTGGTGGTAAAAACAAAGAAGACAATTAACTTTTTTCGCTGCTGGGAACACTCTTTGTAGAGCTGCATTAAAATCAGTGAGCAGATATTTGATGGGTTCAAGTCCCCCATCTCCTTGGACAACTGGCAGGTTCACCACACCCCCCAAGCATGGCATACAATGAGTTATGGTGAGAGCAGGCACATGGGGGTCTCTACAGAGAGGGACCTGACAAAACCAGGATGGGCCCAGGATCCAGACCCAAATATGGAATTTCTCTGCGCTTTCTCTTAGGGGATTTCCATGAGTGACCCTCAGATCTACCCCCCAAAAATCTAGCCTTAACTGGTCCCAGTGGCAACTTGGTTAAGTGTAAAGTCCCTTTTTACATTCTTGTAGAAATATCAGAGAAGACCTTTGTGTTGTTTTTACTTTACACTAGGCTGCATTTATTCATGTTACTACAGTTTGTATAGTTTTAATTATTCCCCCCGATATCATCTGTAGCAGCCAGGTTCACGGCACTGCCAGAGCTTCTCCAAGACTTGAAAGCCAGCAATATCACCAATACTCTACAAAAATAGGGAAGAGTTTACATGAAAAAGGGGTTATATTGTTTCCTGCATTTGTCTGCAATGTGTCATCTAAGAGAACTCATCCCAGTAGCCCATCAGGGCAGAAGTGGTGCCCTCACATATCTTTGTAATGTTATATAATGGAGGTCACTTTCCAGAGTGGTTTAGCCTTTCAATGGCTATTATTTCTGATCAAAATGGAATAAAACTAGAAATGAATAACAGAACAAAACAAAAATAGCGACATATATATGGAAATTAAACAACTCACTTTTGAGCATGCTCATGTTTAAGGGTTGTAAGACTTAATATTATGAATAATGCTTATGATGTCTAAAGCGAGTTACAGATTCAATGCAATCCCTTTTAAATTAAGAACTTTTTTTTTGAACTAGAAAAAGGAACCAACAAATTATATGGAATGTCAAGCGACCATAAAGAGCCCAAAAATGTTTAAAAAAAAACAATGTTAGTGACCTCACCTTTTCTGATTTCAAAGCACATTACAAAGCAACAGCAATGAAAACAGTTTGTTTCTGGCATAAAGACAGACAATTTTTCCAATAAAACAGAAGGTAGCACACATGTAAACCTCACACATATGAGCAAATAGCTATTTGCATACCAATATTCATTGCAGCATTATTCAGAAAGGCCAATAGGTGAAAGCAACACAAACTTTCCTCATAGAATGAATAAATAAATACAATTTGTAATATAAAAGTAATGGAATATTACTTAGCTTTTAAAGGCAGAAAATCTTGAACCATCCACAATAAAGAGGAATCTTGAGAACATAATGCTAAGTAAAATTAGTCACAATAAAACAGATACTCTATGATTCTACTTATATGTAATATCTAAAGTATTGAAACTTAGAACCAGAAAATAGAATGATTTTTATCAGGAGCCAGGTGGTAAGGACAATGGGTAGTTGTCATTTCATGTGTACTGAGTTTTAGTTTTGCAAAAGAAAAAATTTTACAAATATGTTGCATAACAATGTAAATACACTTAACATGACTGAACTGTATAAGAAAAAATATTAAAGATTCTAAATTTTATGTTATGTATTTTTACCACAATCGAAATTAAAAATGACACCCAAGGGCCAAGAGTGATCACTCATGCCTGTAATCCCAACACTCTGGGAGGCTGAGGCATGCAGGTTACTTGAGGCCATAAGTTCAAGACCAGCCTGGCCAACATGGTGAAACCTCAGCTTCATGAAAAATACAAAAATTAGCCAGGCGCAGTGGTGCACAACTTTAATGCCAGCTACTCAAGAGGCAGCAGCTGGAGAATTGCTTTAACCTGGGAGGTGGAGGTTGCAGTGATCCAAGATTGTGCCACTGCACTTTGGCGACAGGGTGAGAGTTTGTCAAAAAAAAAAAAAAAAAAAAAAAAAGACACCCAAAGAGAGAGAGTTACAAAGTTTCTGAAAAATTATCTTCAAATCGCATAAATCTTTCTTTCACACTAAGATAATATAAACAATAGATGTTGAAATTAAGACAATTTCCATGATTACTCACTTAGACAGAATAAATTATTGGCCATCAAATAAGAAGAAAATATACAAGTCATAAACAAAATAGGGGCAATGTTTATACAGGCAAACAAACAGTTAAATCATTATATTAACAAAAGACATAGGGATGGTTCATATTTGACTTCTGCCCCACACTGTCTTAATGCATACAGAGTTGAATATTGTTATACAATATTATATAAATTAAAACTTAAAACAATAAACTAATATAAGGTGCCCTACCCTAAAACATGAAACACAGAAATGTAAAATTGCAAAACAAAGTTAAAATAAACATTAACCCCCAAATTCTTATTTGAATAATGAAATTCAAAATCATAGTAAATAGGTAGAAAGTAAAAACACAATTAACTGATGTGAGACAGCCTACTCTAAAAAATACAGAAACATAAAATTATAAAACATAATTAAGAGAAACTTTAATCCATAAAATCCTGAATAAACATAGTGTCCAAATGAAAAAGAATCCTAGGTAACTACAATTTTTAACTCTTCCTGTGAATCCATGAAAAGTATGAATTTTGAATTATTTGGATACAGTTAGGGCAACAACATTTCAGAGAAAATACATTATAATTATTACAAAGAGCTTTGATGAGAAAGTTTTAAGGAATAAGCATTTAAGTAATACTAGAGAAAGTTTTAAATTATGCTACTGATGCATTGCTGCTTTTCTTACACAAAACGGTAAGGCTGTAATCTAGCTTTTAATTGAAAAGTCTTACATTTCTAAATATGGTAAAAATATAAATATTGTAAATACAGTATAAAACATTGACATATAAAATAAAAATTGGAAATAAATTGTACTATTAGTCAAATAAAAGTTGGGAAAACTGGAAGAAGATGCTAATAGTAACATTGTGCCTAGGGTCAATTAAACATACAAGCCAAATATTTTAATAAATTATAAACTATATAATTTATACATAATATATACATTTGAGCATGCTATTTTACAACTTCTGAAAGGAAATTACAGACAAATGTGACACATGATAATTCAGAAAGTGAAAACACAGTCATAGTAATCTTCATATTAAAGGAGACAGAATCATAAAATACTAAGTGAGAAATAAAGTAATAATTGTGAATTCAATATATGTTGAACAATATTCTAATTTCCCTTACGGAAAAAGTTTTTGTAAGAAATCAGTAAAATGAGTACATACAATAAACCATCCTACAGTAGAGGCTGTTGGCATATAGAGTTTACATTTCTATGATTAGGTCCTACTAAGAAAAAGGAAATTTTAAAATAAAATACTTAGATTTTCCTATTTAATAAGATAATTTTTGCCTATAAAGTTTTTCTGTCTAATTTTCTTGTAGAATTAGGTTTTAGCCGTCGTAAAACTTGACATTATGAAGTAGAAAACAGATGTCATCTGTCTCTGGTGTTCCTGGAATTTCTAACCCAAATTCCAATTCCTCCACAACTCCCCTCACACACTTCCGAATTGAAGCACAACAGATTTATTAAAAATGGCATAACAGCGGTCTCCAGAAATGTGCAGAGATTTTCCCAGATCCCCAAAAGCAATGACAAACTATTCAGATCATTTAGGTTCTCACAAGATACTGGGAGGACTTTGGCTTTCAGTGTGAATGCACTGGAAGATTCTAAGAGAGAGGGAGAGAGAGAGAATGTGTGTGTGTTGAAATCAGAACTCCACCTTATGTGTTTATTGTGAGTCACATTTGTTGATTTGCATATGTTGAATCAACTTGGCATCCTGGGGACAAAGCCAATTCCATTGTGGTGGATGCACTTTTTAATGTGATGCTGGATTTGGTTTGCCAGTATTTTATTGAGGATGTTTGCACAGTGTTCATCAAAGACATTGGCATGATGTGTTGTTGTTGTTGTTGTTGTTGTATCTATGTTAGGTTTTGGTATCAGGATGATGCTGGCCTGATAGAATGAGTTAGAGAGAACTTCTTTGTCTTCAATTTTTTTTGGATAGTTTTAGGAGAAAATGTACTATCTCCTCTTTACCTCAAGTCAAATTCAGCTTGCTTGGTAGGCTAGTTCTTACTGCCTCAATTTCAGAACACATTATTGATCTATTCAGGGTTCAGTCTTGTGGAGAGTTTATTTTGCAAGGAAATTGTCCATTTCTTCTAGATTTTCTGGTTTATGAGCATAGAGGTGTTTATAGTATTCTCTGATCATTGTTCTTATTTCCATGGGATCAGTGATGATATCTCCCTTATTATTTCTATTTGTGTTTGGTTCTTTCTTTTCTTATTTATTTGCCTAACTAGTGTTCCATCTAGTTTATAAATTTTTTTTTTTTTCATAAAAACAGCTCCTGGATTGGTTGAGTTTTTTTTTTTTTTTTTTTTTTGGAAGAGTTCTCAGTGTCTCTATCTCCTTCAGCTCTACTCTGATCTTGGCTATTTCTTGTTTTCTGCTAGCTTTCAGGTTTGTTTTCACTTGGTTTTCTGTTCTTTTAATCAAGATGTTAGGCTGTTAACTTCAGATCTTTCTAATTTTTTTTTTTTTCTTGTGGGAGAGTTTCACTCTGTCACCCAGACTGGAGTACAGTGGCATAATCTCGGCTCACTGCAACCTCCTCTTCTCGGTTTTAAGTCACTTCTGCTGTCTCAGCCTCCTGAGTAGCTGGGATTACAGATGTGAATCACCACACCTAGCTAATTTTTGTATTTTTTTGTAGAGATATGGTTTTGCTGTTGGCCAGGCTGGTCCTGAACACCTGGTCTCAAGTGATCTGCCTACCCCAGCCTCCCAAAGTGCTGGAATTACAGGCATGAGCCACCACACCCAGCCCTTTCTAGCTTTTTGATGTGGACATTAGTGCTATAAATTTTCCTCTTTTCTTGGTTTCTAGTGATTATTTTATTCTATCTTGGTGAGTAGTCAGGGAAATAATCTTAAATTTACAATCAACTTATAGTTTAAATCTAAATAATTATGTGAGAAGAACCCTTTGTTATTTGAAGGGGATGTTTGAAGATTTTGTAACCGTGCCTTTTAGGTAGTCCTAAATTTCTAATCGTAGTTAAAAACATGCCATTTTCATTTCTAACATTTTAAGTATATGGTTTAGAAGTGGTAAGTATAGTTCTATTTTTTTTGCAATAGGTTTTAGATAATTTTTGTCTTACAAAATTAAAAGTGAATACTCATTAATTCTGAAACAAGTTAGTTAGCTTGCTTTAGTTAGATAGCAAGAGAAGGGTCCCTGGAAAGTCCCTGGCCCTTGGGTCAGTATCTCATCCCTGCATAACATAAAAGGAATCCTGGAAAAAATCAAGCTGCAGACACTAACAAGGTAACTAGCACATGGTGTTGTGCTTGGAGACCTGCCCATGGCTGCACAGACAGAAAAACCTCTGGCCCATTTGGATAAAAACTGGTACAAACCTCCAGCTCACTGAGATAAGGGAACAAGACCGACCTGGCATAGAAATGCCTTTGTTTGGCCAGGCATGGTGGCTCATGCCCGTAATTCCAGCAATTTGGGCGGAAGTGGGCGGATCACCTGAGGTCGGGAGTTCGAGACCAGCATGACCAACATGGAGAAACCCTGTCTCTACTAAAAATACAAAATTAGCCGGGCATGGCGCCTCATGCCTGTAATCCCAGCTACTTGGGAGGCTGAGGCAGGAGAATCACTTAAATCCAAGTGGCGGAGTTTGCTGTGGGCCGAGATCGCACCACTGCACTCCAGCCTGGGCAACAAGAGCAAAACTACGTCTCAAAATAAATAAATAAATAAATAAATAAATAATAAGAAAGTACATCTCAAAAAAAAAAAATGAAAGAAAGAAAGAAAAGAAAAAGAAAAAAAGAAACGCCTTTGTACTTTGTGCAGTCAGTGCGCTCCCAGGAAAATGTTTCTTCTCCTTCTGTGGGCATAAGCACAGTGGGCTCTGGTGCATTCCGGTCGACACTCTCCTTTATTTGGACTGTAAGTCTGACCTCTGTGAATAATTACTTCAGCCCCTGATTGCTTCCGGGACAAGCTCCTGCGCCAAGCTTTCACTTTGGCTTCTGATAAGTCCTGGGCCAATCTAAATAGCATCTATGAATCATCCCTTCAGCTCCTGATTGGTCCCGGGCCAAAGTCCTGGGCCAAGCTGAGCCACACTTTTTTCAAGACAGCCTGTGAACTAAGCACATTTCCTTCTCTTCCTTTCCCAGTCCATAAAAACCTTGGGCCCCAGCCTCACAGAGGTCACCCCATTCAGAAACTATCTCTGCTGGCAAAGAGCTTTCTTCTCTTGCTTATCAAACTTTCACTCTAACCTCACCTTTGTGTTCACGCTCCTTAATCTCCCTAGAAGTAGAACAAAGAACTTTCGATGCTATCTCAGACTATGAGAGACTGTTACATCTTGGTGCACTGCTGAGACTACAACACTTGGTTTCTTTGAGTTTGACTAAATATTTTACATAGGTGTAATTATACAGTTTTCCTTTTTGACTGTCTTGTTTTACTTAACAGAATGTTTTCGAGATTTGTCCTTATTGTAGTACTTTTCAAGATTTCCTTATTTTTAAGGCTGAATGCTATCCCAGTGAATATACGTGCCCTGTTTGTTGAATCTACTCATCCTTAAAGGTACATTTGCTTCCAGGTAGTATGTTTGT